>NC_000001.11:233911394-234062909 GCF_000001405.40 Homo sapiens | reverse complement strand
AGACCATCCCGGTGAACACGGTGAAACCACGTCTCTACTAAAAATACAAAAAAAAAAAAAAAAAATTAGCCAGGCGTGGTGGGCACCTGTAGTCCCAGCTACTCAGGGAGACTGAGGCAGGAGAATGGCATGAACCCAGGGGGCAGAGCTTGCAGGGAAAGGAGATTGCGCCACTGTACTCCAGCCTGGGCGACAGAGCAAGGCTCCGTCTCAAAAAAAAAAAAAAGATTTTGCTCATGGATGAAAGAAAAGAACAGAAAACAGAAATCTCTTAATTATTTCCTAAAGAAATTGACTTCATTTGCAACAGAGCCAGGAAAAGTTCAGGCCTAAGGGCACAATCAAAACCAGCTGATATTGTGGTAAAAGACAACTTTAGGCTTACTAGTTTGTCAGAGAGGTCCAAGGAAGGAGACAGCTGGGAGGAGCCCTCCGGGGTTCCACATGAATCTCAAACATTGACCTGAAAACTATTCAAAAGAGCCACAATAGATTGAATAGTCTGTAGAACAATTTATGCCCCCAGGACATAACCAGTTTGTGCGTAGTGGAGTTTAATAACTAGGTGTGACCAGGGAAAGAAAAAGTCAAAGATAGCTTTGCCAACACCACTGTCATCCTAGGGTGACTCAGGGTATACCCAAGGCCTTACCACCAAAGAATAACATCAGAAACTTCAGGCAATGGAGCTATAACGAGAAAGAACAAGAGGAAAATAAACCTCACTAAATGATCCAGACAGTAACAAAAGTTGTCAGTAAGCAAAGAGCAATTCCAAGTCCTAGGGATGGGGAGAAGTACTCAGAGTTACAACAGTATGTTCTCTACAGTGGGGTTTTAGGTAACATTTTTGTCTAGTATCCAACAAAAAATATTGTGAGACATATAAGAAACAGGAAATTGTGACCCATACCTCCAAAAAATAGACAACAGAAACTGACTGTGAGAGTGACCAGATGTCATATTTAAAAGGCAAAGTTTCAAGTAACTGTTATAAATATTTTCAAAAAAACGAAAAGAAACCATGTTTTAAAAGATAAAGATATGATGACAATGTTGCACCTAATAGAGTACCACTAAAGAGACAAATATTATTTTTTTAAAAAGCCAAACGTAAATTCTGGAGTTGAAAAGTATAACAACTAAAAGAAAAATTTAGTAGAGGGACTCAACAGTGGATTTAAACTGGCAGAAGAAAAATTAGCAGACTTGGGGATAGATTGACAAAGATTATGTAACCTGAAGAACAGAGAAACAAAAGAATAAAAAAAATTAGCAGAGACTCAGAAAAGTTGTGACACTAAGCACACCAATTACCAATATATACATAATGGGCAAACCAAAAGAAGAGAGAAAAGAGCAGAAAAAAATATTTGGAGAAATAATGGCTTAAAAATTTTCCAAATTTTGTAAAAAACAGTGATCTACACATGCAGAAAACTCAACAAACGTCAAGTAGAACAACCAAAAAGAGAGTCACAGACACGTGACAGTAAAATTCTAAAATCTTAAGACAGAGAAAGTTTTGAAAGCAGAAAGAGAAAACTGGCTTATCATTTAAAAGAGAATCTCAATAAGATTAACAGCTGACTTCTCAATAGAAACAACAGTAGCCAAAGGGCAGTGTGATAACATATTTAAAAAAACCTGTCAACAGAGAATCCTACAACTAGTTAAGGTATCATTAAAAAAATCATGACAAAAAAGAAAAGAAAAGACGCCTTGAGATAAACAAAAACTGAGAATTTGTTGCTAGAAGACAAGACTTACGAGAAGTACTAAAATAAATTCTTCAGGCTGAAAGCAAGTAAGTCTAGAGAGTAATTTGAGTTTACACAAAAATACATGCACACAAAAAGCCATTAAAAGTAATTATGTAATTATAAAGGACAGTATAGATGCATATTTCTTTTCCCTTATTCTCGTAAGTAATGTAAAAAGCAATTATATTAAAAAGTCTGTGTATAATGTATGCTGTGCCCTATAAGACATAGAAATAGAATATATTGCCAGTAACAGCACAAGATGAAATGAGTAGGAGCAAAGCTATGTTGGGATAAAGAGATTACTTCAGATTGTAACTCAAATACACAGGAAGAAATGGAGAGAAACAGAAATGATTAAAGGTGGGGAAGTGATTAAAAATAAATAGGAGTAGGGTGGGGCACAGTAGCTCATGCCTGTAATCCTAGCACTTTGGGAGGCCAAGGCAGGTGGATTGCCTGAGCTCAAAAATTCAAGACCAGACTGGGCAACATGGTAAAACCCGGTCTCTACCAAAAATAAACATAAAAAATTAGCCAGGCATGGTGGCATGTGTCTGTGGTTCCAGCTATTCGGGAGGCTGAGATGGGAAGATCACTTGAGCCTGGGAGGTGGAAGTTGCAGTGAGCTGAGATTGTGCTACTGCACTTCAACCTGGGTGACAGAGTGAGACCCTGTCTCAAAATAAATAAATAAATAAATACATAAATAGGAGTAACATTCCTATCGCTCACTGCAATTAAGTTAGCACAAATCTGATAGAAATGACAGAAGAAATAGAAAATTCAACAATAATAGTTAGAAACTTCAATACCTCATTTCCAATAGTAGACAAGCAATGAGGAAAAAGATCAACAAAGAAGTAGAAGACTTCAGTAAAAATCTAAAAATCAGCTAGACCTAACAGACATCTATAGGATACTCTACACAACAGTAGGAGAACATGCTTTGTTCTCAAGTGCACACAAAACATCTCCAGGACAGACCACAAGCTAGGCCATAAAATAAACCTCACTAAAGTTTAAAGTACTGAAATAACATTAAGTATGTTTTGTTATTGATTCTTAATTTCATTTCACTGGGATCTGTGACGGTTAATACTGTCAACTTGATTAGATTGAAGGATGCAATATTGATCTTGGGTGTATCTGTAAGGGTGTTGCCAAAGGAGATTAACATTTGAGTCAGTGGGCTGGGGAAGGCAGACCCACCCTTAATTCAGTGGGCACCATCTAATCAGCAAACATAAAGCAGACAGAAAAACATGAAGTGGTGAGATGGGCCTAGCCTCCCAGCCTACATCTTTCTCCCGTGCTGGATGCTCCCTGCCCTCAAACATCAGGCCCCAAGTTTTTCAATTTTGGGACTCGGACTGGCTGTCCTTGCTCCTCAGCTTGCAGATAGCCTATTGTGGGATCTTGTGATCATGTAAGTTGATAAGTAAGCTTGTCTATGTCTATGTCTGTCTATGTCTATGTCTATGTCTATGTCTATGTCTATGTCTATGTCTATGTCTATGTCTATGTCTAGTCTATGTCTATGTCTCTAGCTCTAGCTCTAGCTCTATCTCTACCTCTATCTCCTGTTAGTTCTGTCCCTCTAAGAGAACCCTGACTAATACAGGATCTGAATTTAGGAATCAATAACAAAAACAATTTTGGGAAACTCATAAATATGTGTAAAGTAAATAAAATAGTCTTAAATAACCAAGGGATTAAAGAAGAAACCAAAGAGAAATTAGAAAATACTTTGAGATGAATGAAAATGAAGACACACTTACAAAAAAATGAAAAAAAAATATGTGGAGTGCAGCTAAAACAGTGCTTGGAGGAAAGTTTATAGTTATAAATGCCTGTATTAAGAAAGAAGACACATATCAAATCAGAAACCTAATCTTCTACCATAAGACACCGAGAAAAGAACCAAACCTAAAAAATAAGGAGGAAGAAATTAAGATTACAGTGGAACTTACCGATATAGAGAATAGAAAAACAATAGAGAAAAATGGATGAAACGAAAAGCTATTCACTTGAAGAGAACAATACAATTAACAAACTTTTAGTAGCTAGACTGACCAAGAAGAAAAAGAGAAAACTCAAATGATTAGAATCAGAAATGAAACAAGGAAATTAAGGCCAACTTTACAGAAATATAAAGTATCATAAGGGAATACTAAGAACAATTGTATGCAGATAAATCAGATAACTTAGATGAAATGGACAAATTGCCAGAAAGACACAAACTACTGAAACTAATTCAAGAGAAATAGGCCATTTAAATAGATACATAATGAGTAAAGAGATTTTATTAGTCAAACAAACAAACAATAAACCAAAAAAAACCCAAAAAAATGAGGAACACTTCTCAAATCATTCTATGAGGGCGGCATTACCTCGATAAGAAAACCAGACAAAGTCATTCACAAGAAAACTATAGAATGATACTTCTTACAAAAATGGGTGCAAAAATTCTCGATAAAATAATACCAAACAAAATCCAGGGACTGGGCACAATGGCTCATGCCTGTTATCCCAACACTTTGGGAGCCTGAGGTGGGAGGATCATTTCAGGCCAGAAGTTCTGAGACCAGCTTGGGAAACAGAGTGAGACCCTGTCTCTACAAAAAATTTAAAATTAGCTGAGCATAATGGTGCATGCCTATAGTCTCAGCTACTCAGGAAGCTAAGGTGGGAGGCCTGCTTGTTCCTGGAAGGTCGAGGCTACAGTGAATCATGCTCATGTCACTGCACTCCAGCCTGGGCAACAGGGTGAGACCCTGTTTAACTGAAAAAAAAAAAAAAAAAAAAAAAAAAAAAATTCAGGAACATTTATAAAGACAATTATACACCATAACTAAGTGAGACTGAGACTTATTATAGGAATACAAGGTTGGTTTAACATTCATAAATTGGTATTGTGAATGAAATATAAAGCAAAAATCCTCGAAAAAAAAACCCAAAGCAAACCAAAAAAAATTGACAATATGTGACACTCTTTCATATTAAAGCGCTCAACAAACCTAAGGCTAGAAGTGAACTTTATCACCCTGATAAGGGTATGTATGCAAACCCATAACAAATATTATATTTAACAGTGAAAGAATGGATGCCTTCCCACTCAAATAAGAAGAAAGACACATGGCCGGATGCAGTGTCTCATACCTGTAATCCCAGCCCTTTGGGTAGCTGAGGCGGGTGGATCACCTGAGGTCAGGAGTTCGAGACCAGCCTGGTCAACATAGTGAAACCCCATCTCTACTAAAAAACACAAAAATTAGCTGGGCCTGGTGGTGCACAACTGTAATTCCAGCTACTCAGAAGGCTGAGGCAGGAGAATTGCATCAATCTGGGAGGTGGAGATTGCAGTGAGCCAAGATCACACCACTGCATTACAGCCTGGGCAACAGAGTGAGACTCTGTCTCAAAAATAAAGAAAGACACAGATATCTGCTCTCATCAGTTTCATTCAACATTAGACTGGAGGTTCTAGCCAAAGCAATTGAAACAGAAACAGAAATAAAAGGTACCCAAATTGGAAAGGAAAAAGTAAAACTATTTTTATTCACAGATACATAATCATGTATACAGAAAGTCCTAAGAAATCCACTAAACAGCTATTAGAACTAATAAATGAGTTCAGCAAACTAGCAGGATAAAAAATCAATTGCATTTCTATATACTTGAAATGACCAGTCTGAAAATGAAATTAAGAAAACAGTTCCATTTACAATAGCATAAAAAATAATAAAATACTGTGGAATAAATTCAACAAATGAAGTGCAAAAGTTACATTCTAAAAACTAAAATGCTGAAAGAAATTAAATAAGATTTAAATGAATGAAAAAGGATACCATGTTACTAGATGAGAAAATTTAACACTGTTAAATGGCAATACTTCCCCAAATTAATCTACCTAGTCAGTGCAATTCCTACCAGAATTCTCACTGATGTTTTTATAGAAATCAATACACAGACTCTAAAATTCATATGGAATTACAAAGATCCCTGGATAGCCAAAACAATCTTCAAAAAGAAAAGCAAAATAGAAGGAGTCACACTTTCTGATTTCCAAGCTTACTTGAAAAAAATAGCAATCAATACATTGGGTGCTGTCACAAGAACAGATATGTAGATCAAGAAAATAGAGTTGAGAATCCAGACATAAACCCATACATCTATGGTTAACTGATTTTTGACAAGTTGCCAATACCATACAATTGAGAAAGAGTAGTCTTTTCAACAAATGATGCTGGCACAACTGGGTATCCACACAAAAAAGGATGAGTTAGACCCTTTCTCACATCATACACAAAAATTAACTCAAAATGGATCAAAGACCAAAACATAAGGTCTAAGGCTACCAAACTGTTAGAAGAAAACACAAGGATAAATCTTCATGACCTCAGACTTGGCAATGGATTCTTAGATAGGACATCAAAAGCATGAGTAGCAAAAGAAAAAATAGATGAATTGGATGAACCTTGAAAACATTATGCCAAGTCAAGGAAGATGTTCACAAAAGACCACATATTGTATGCTTTTACTTACATGAAATGTCCAGAATAGGCACATCTATAGACAGAAAGTAGATTAGTGGTTGCATGGTGCTGGGTGGAGGGGGGAATAGCAAGTAAAACTAGGGGTATGGTATGTCTTTTGAAGTCATTAAAGTGTTCTAAAATGGACTGTGGTGATAGTTGCACAGATACCATGTACTAATATACATTGAGTTGTACATATTAAATAGAAGAATTTTATAGTATGTGAGTTATACATAAAAAACTATTAAAAACATGTTTCAAGATGTAGAAGAAAATTAAAAAATAAATTGATGTCACTGTGCTCAAAGACATTTAAGAAATAAACTCAGAGATTAATTAATATTATATCTTTAAAATAAGAGCATGATTTTATAAAAAAGAAAGAAAAAGGACATCTTAGAAAATAAAAATGAACCAATAAAGTGATTGAAGAATAAATGAAAGGAACACTTCTAGAATCTTGAGCAAAATATAAAGGTAAGAAACCATAAACAAAAGTAAAAGAGACACTCAAATCAATTCAGGAGATTCTGGCTAATGCAGTAACCAAGAAAAATTTAATGAAGACTTAAAAAAACTAGAAAACAAGCTACAAAGTTACAGGACAATATAATTGTCAATATGGTAAATCCAAGAGTTCAGTAAGTTTTCTGAATACAAAAATAAGTGTAAACACTCAGAGGCATTTCTGTGAGCTGGTAATATCCAATTATAAAATATTTTAAAAGAAATTATCCACAATAGTAACAAAATCTAAAAGCATCTAAGAAGAAGCCTAGTAAAAGATGAGTAAAATCTCTATCAAAAACAAAATACAGAGGGTTCCAAGATGGCCGAATAGGAACAGCTCCAGTCTACAGCTCCCAGTGTGAGCGACGCAGAAGATGGGTGATTTCTGCATTTCCAACTGTGGTACTGGGTTCATCTCACTGGGGCTTGTCAGACAGTGGGTGCAGCCCCTGGAGCATGAGCTGAAGTAGGGCAGGGCATCACCTCACCCGGGAAGCACAAGGGGTTGAGGAATTCCCTTTCCTAGCCAAGGGAAGCCGTGACAGACGGTACCAGGAAAATCGGGAAACTCCCACCCTAATCCTGCGCTTTTCCAATGGTCTTAGCAAATGGCTCACCAGGAGATTATATCCCATGCATGGCTAGGAGGGTCCCACGCCCATGGAGCCTTGCTCACTGCTAGCACAGCAGTCTGAAATCGAACTGCAAGGTGGCAGCAAGTCTGGGAGAGGGGTGTCCGCCATTGCTGAGGCTTGAGTAGGTAAACAAAGAGGCCGGGAAGCTCGAACTGAGTGGAGCCCACTGCAGCTCAAGGAGGCCTGCCTGCCTCTGTAGACTCTATAGACTCTGTAGACCTCTGGGGGCAGGGCATAGCTGAACAAAAGGCAACAGAAACTTCTGCAGACTTAAACGTCTCTGCCTGACAGCTTTGAAGAGAGTAGTGGATCTCCCAGCATGGAGTTTGAGATCTGAGAACCTACAGACTGCCTCCTCAAGTGGGTCCCTGACCCCCGAGTAGTCTAACTGGGAGGCACCTCCCAGTAGGGGCACCTGACACCTCATACGGCCGAGTGCCCCTCTGGGACGAAGCTTCCAGAGGAATGATCAGGTAGCAACATTTGCCGTTCTGCAATATTTGCTGTTCTACAGCCTCCGCTGGTGATACTCAGGCAAACAGCATCTGGAGTGGACCTCCAGCAAACTCCAACAGACCTGCAGCTGAGGGTCCTGACTGTTAGAAGGAAAACTAACAAACAGAAAGGACATCCACACCAAAACCCCATCTGTACGTCACCATCATTAAAGACCAAAGGTACATAAAACCACAAAGATGGGGAGAAACCAGAGCAGAAAAGCTGAAAATTCTAAAAATCAGAGCGCCTCTTCTCCTCCAAAGGAACGCAGCTCTTTGCCAACAACAGAACAAAGCCGGACAGAGAATGACTTTGATGAGTTGACAGAAGAAGGCTTCAGACAATCGGTAATAAACTTCTCTGAACTAAAGGAGAATGTTCGAACCCATCACAAAGAAGCTAAAAACCTTGAAAAAACATTAGATGAATGGCTAACTAGAATAAACAGCATAGAGAAGACCTTAAATGACCTGATGGAGTTGAAAACCATGGCACGAGAACTACATGATGCATGCACAAGCTTCAGTAGCCGATTCGATCAAGTGGAAGAAAGAGTCAGTGATTGAACATCAAATGAATGAAATGAAGTGAGAAGAGAAGTTTAGAGAAAAAAGAGTAAAAAGAAACAAACAAAGTCTCCAAGAAATATGGGACTATGTGAAAACACCAAATCTACGTCTGAATGGTGTACCTGAAAGTGACAGGGAGAATGGAACCAAGTTGGAAAACACTTTGCAGGATATTATCCAGGAGAACTTCCCCAACCTAGCAAGGCAGGCCAACATTCAAATTCAGGAAATACAGAGAATGCCACAAAGATACTCCTCGAGAGGAGCAACTCCAAGACACATAATTGTCAGATTCACCAAAGTTGAAATGAAGGAAAAAATGTTAAGGGTGCCAGAGAGAAAGGTCTGGTTACCCACAAAGGGAAGCCCATCAGACTAACAGCAAATCTCTCAGCAGAAACTCTACAAGCCAGAAGAGAGTGGGGGCCAATATTCAACATTCTTAAAGAAAAGAATTTTCAACCCAGAATTTCATATCAAGCCAAACTAAGCTTCATAATTGAAGGAGAAATAAAATCCTTTACAGACAAGCAAATGCTCAGAGATTCTGTCACCACCAGGCCTGCCTTACAAGAGCTCCTGAAGGAAGCACTAAACATGGAAAGGAACAAATGGTACCAGCCACTGCAAAAACATGCCAAATTGTAAAGACCATCGATGCTAGGAAGAAACTGCATCAACGAATGAGCAAAATAACCAGCTAACATCATAATGACAGGATCAAATTCACACATAACAATATTAACCTTAAATGTAAATGGGCTAAATGCCCCAATTAAAAGACACAGACTGGCAAACTGGATAAAGAGTGAAGACCCAACAGTGTGCTATATTCAGGAGACCCATCTCACATGCAGAGACACACATAGGCTCAAAATAAAGGGATGGAGGAAGATCAACCAAGGAAATAGAAAACAAACAACAAAAAAAGCAGGGGTTGCAATCCTAGTCTCTGATAAAACAGACTTTAAACCAACAAAGCTCAAAAGACACAAAGAAGGCCATTACATGGTAAAGGAATCAATTAAACAAAAAGAGCTAACTATCCTAAATATATATGCACCCAATACAGGAGCACCCAGATTCATAAAGCAAGTCCTTAGAGATCTACAAAGAGACTTAGACTCCCACACAGTAATAATGGGAGACTTTAACACCCCACTGTCAACATTAGACAGATCAACGAGACAGAAAGTTAACAAGGATATCCAGGACTTGAACTCAGCTCTGCACCAAGAGGACCTAATAGACGTCTACAGAACTCTCCACCCGAAATCAACAAAATATACATTCTTCTCAGCACCACATCACACTTATTCCATAATTGACCACATAGTTGGAAGTAAAGCACTCCTCAGCAAATGTAAAAGAACAGAAATTATAACAAACTGTCTCTCAGACCACAGTGCAATCAAACTAGAACTCAGGATTAAGAAACTCACTCAAAGCTGCTCAACTACATGGAAACTGAACAACCTGCTCCTGAGTGACTACTGGGTACATAACGAAATGAAGGCAGAAATAAAGATGTTCTTTGAAACCAATGAGAACAAAGACACAACATACCAGAATCTCTGGGACACATGTAAAGCAGTGTGTAGAGGGAAATTTATAGCACTAAATGCCCACAAGAGAAAGCAGGAAAGATCTAAAATTGACACCTTAATATCACAATTAAAAGAACTACAGAAGCAAGAGCAAACACATTAAAAGCTAGCAGAAGGCAAGAAATAACTAAGATCAGAGCAGAACTGAAGAAAATAGAGACACAAAAAAACCTTCAAAAAAATCAATGAATCCAGGAGCTCATTTTTTGAAAAGATCAACAAAATTGAAAGAACGCTAGTAAGACTAATAAAGAAGAAAAGAGAGAAGAATCAACTAGATGCAATAAAATATGATAAAGGGGATATCACCACTGATCCCACAGAAATACAAGCTACCATCAGAGAATACTATAAACACCTCTATGCAAATAAACTAGAAAATCTAGAAGAAATGGATAAATTCCTGGACATATACACCCTCCCAAGACTAAACCAGTAAGAAGCGGAATCCCTGAATAGACCAATAACAGGCTCTGAAATTGAGGCAATAATTAATAGCATACCAACAAAAAAAGTCCAGGACCAGACGGATTCACAGCCAAATTCTACCAGAGGTACAAAGAGGAGCTGGTACCATTCCTTCTGAAACTTCCAATCAATAGAAAAAGAGGGAATCCTCCCTAACTCATTTTATGAGGCCAGCATCATCCTGATACCAAAGCCTGGCAGAGACACAACAAAAAAAGATAATTTTAGACCAATATCCCTGATGAACATCCATGCAAAAATCCTCAATAAAATACTGGCAAACCGAATCCAGCAGCACATCAAAAAGCTTATCCACCACGATCAAGTTGGCTTCATCCCTGTGATGCAAGGCTTGTTCAACATACGCAAATCAATAAACGTAATCCATCACTTAAACGGAACCAAAGACAAAAACCACATGATTATCTCAATAGATGCAGAAAAGGCCTTCAACAGAATTCAACAGTGCTTCATGCGAAAAACTCTCAATAAACTAGGTATTGATGGGACGTATCTCAAAATAATAAGAGCTATTTATGACAAACCCACAGCCAATATCATACTGAATGGGCAAAAACTGGAAGCATTCCCTTTGAAAACTGGCACAAGACAGGGATGCTCTCTCTCACCACTCCTATTCAACATAGTGTTGGAAGTTCTGGCCAGGGTAATCAGGCAGGAGAAAGAAATAAAGGGTATTCAACTAGGAAAACAGGAAGTCAAATTGTCTCTGTTTGCAGATGACATGATTGTATATTTAGAAAACCCCATCATCTCAGCCCAAAATCTCCTTATGCTGATAAGCAACTTCAGCAAAGTCTCAGAATATAAAATCAATGTGCAAAAATCACAAGCATTCCTATACACCAATAACAGACAAACAGAGAGCCAAATCATGAGTGAACTCCCATTCACAATTGCTCCAAAGAGAATAAAATACCTAGGAATCCAACTTAGAAGGGATGTGAAGGACCTCTTGAAGGAGAACTACAAACCACTGCTCAATGAAATAAAAGAGGACACAAACAAATGGAAGAACATTCCATGCTCATGGATAGGAAGAATCAATATTGTGAAAATGGTCATACTGCCCAAGGTAATTTACAGATTCAATGCCATCCCAATCAAGCTACCAATGACTTTCTTCACAGAATTGGAAAAAACTACTTTAAAGTTCATATGGAACCAAAAAAAGAGCCCGCAATGCCAAGACAATCCTAAGCCAAAAGAACAAACCTGGAGGCATCACGCTACCTGACTTCAAACTATACTACCAGGCTACAGTAACCAAAACAACATGGCACTAGTACCAAAACAGAGATATAGACCAATGGAAGAGAACAGAGCCTTCAGAAATAATACCACACATCTACAACCATGTGATCTTTGACAAACCTGACAAAAACAAGAAATGGGGAAATGATTCCCGATTTAATAAATGGTGCTGGGAAAACTGGCTAGCCATATGTAGAAAGCTGAAACTGGATTCCTTCCTTACACCTTATCCAAAAATTAATTCAAGATGGGTTAAAGACTTAAATGTTAGACCTAAAACCATAAAAACCCTATAAGAAAACCTAGGCAATATCATTCAGGACATAGGCATGGGCAAGGATTTCATGACTAAAACACCAAAAGCAATGGCAACAAAAGCCAAAATTGATAAATGGGATCTAATTAAACTAAAGAGCTTCTGCACAGCAAAAGAAACTACCATCAGAGTGAACAGGCAACTTACAGAATGGGAAAAATTTTTGCAATCTACTCATCTGACAAAGGGCTAATATCCAGAATCTACAAAGAACTTAAACAAATTTATAGGAAAAAATCAAACAACCCCATCAAAAAGTGGGCAAAGGATATGAACAGACACTTCTCAAAAGAAGACATTTATGCAGCCAACAGACACATGAAAAAATGCTCATCATCACTGGTCATCAGAGAAATGCAAATCAAAACCACAATGAGATACCATCTCACACCAGTTAGAATGGCGATCATTGAAAAGTCAGGAAACAACAGGTGCTGGAGAGGATGTGGAGAAAAAGGAACACTTTTACACTGTTGGTGGGACTGTAAACTAGTTCAACCATTGTGGAAGACAGTGTGGCGATTCCTCAAGGATCTAGAACTAGAAATACCATTTGACCCAGCTATCCCATTACTGGGTATATACCCAAAGGATTATAAGTCATGCTGCTATAAAGACACATGCACACGTATGTTTATTGTGGCACTACTCACAATAGCAAAGACTTGGAACCAACCCAAATGTCCATCAATGATAGACTGGATTAATAAAGTGTGGCACATATACACCATGGAATACTATGCAGCCATAAAAAAGGATGAGTTCATGTCCTTTGTAGGGACATGGATGAAGCTGGAAACCATCATTCTCAGCAACCTATCGCAAGGACAGAAAACCAAACACCTTATGTTCTTACTCATAGGTGGGAATTGAACAATGAGAACACTTGGACACAGGAAAGGGAACATCACACACCGGGGCCCGTCGTGGGGTTGGGGTAGTGGGGAGGGATAGCATTAGGAGATACACCTAATGTAAATGACGAGTTAATGGGTGCAGCACACCAACATGGCACATGTATACATATGTAACAAACCTGCATGTTGTGCACATGTACCCTAGAACTTAAAGTATAATAAAACAAACAAACAAACAAACAAAAAATACAAAATTAGTATTGAGGGATGTATTAGCTTGGGCTTCCCTAATAAAATACCACAGACTGAGTGGCCTAAACAACAGAAATGCATTTTCTCACATTTCTGGAGGCTAGAAGTCCTGATCAAGGTGCCAGAAATTTGGTTTCTTTGGGAATTCTCGTCCTAACTTGTAAATGGCTGGCTTCTTGTTGTGTCCTTAAATGATCTTTCCAATGTGCACACACACACACAGGAGAGGGGGAGAAAGAGAGAGGAGAGAGAGAGAAGAGAGAGGAGATAGAGAGAGAGCAAGAGTGAGCACACTCCCTGGTATCTCTTCTTTAAAGGCCACTAATCCTATTGGATCAGGGCAGCACTCTTATTACATAATTTAACCTTAATTATTTACATATGTATTGGGGTGGGGGGTACAAATATTCAGTCCAGGATATTCCACCCCTAGCACTTCCAGAATTCATGTCCTTCTCAAATGCAAAATTCCTTCATTTCATCCCAACAACCTCCAAAGTCTTAACTAATTTCAGCATCAACTCATCAACTCTAAAGTCTAAAGCCCAAAGTTTCATATAAATATGATTTAAATCAGATATAGTTGAGACTCAAGGTGAAATCATGCTGAGGCAAATTCTTATCCAGTTGTGAACCTGTCAAACAAGACAAGTTTATGTGTGTCAAAAATGCAATGAAGAAACAGGCACAGGATAGACATTCCCATTTCAAAAGAGAGAGATAGAAAGAAGGGAGGGATGATTGGTCCCAAGGAAGGTGAAGACCTATCAAGGCAAGTTACACTAAATCTTAAGGCTCAGGAACAATCCTCTTTGGCTCAATGTACTGCCTTCTGAACCCACTGGGCTCTACCTTACCTTCTGGACCCAATGGAAAATTGCTCCTGCCTCTCAGACCCACTGGGGCAATGGTCCCACCCCTGAATGTATGCCAGGTGGTTCCAACCCCAAGCTACTAGGTGGCATTGCTCCCAAGGCTCCAGGTGATGCGGCCTGGCCAGTGAAACTGTGGTAGTGGCCCTAGCCTTTGAAAATGAGGTAGAGGCAGTTTTGACCCATGATCCCATGGTGGAAGTGGTAGCCCTGATAATCTCTGGCTCACCTTCAGGTCATTCTTCCCTTTTCTTGCAGGATGAAGCATGTTCACAACCAAACAGCTCTACTGTTTAACACTGTCCCCTTTGGTCCATACTGACAGTGTCTCTGCCAGTATAATCTCATCTCTATCCCTGGCTTCTGCTGAGATGGCTCATTAACATCATGGATAACCTCTTTATGGAGCGATTGTCCAACCACATCTTTGTTGTTCTCTCCAGAATGTTTCCTCATTTTTCATAACATACAAATGCTGAGAAATTTCCAAATTTTTAAGTTCTGGTTTCCTTTTGCTTACCACTTCTTTCAATTTATCTTTCTTCTCTCACATTTTACTGTAAACACTAAGTAGAAACTAAGCTGCTCTTTCAACACTTTGTTTAGAAAATTCCTCAGCTAAATATCCAACTTAGTTGCTTGCAACTAAGTTGCATTCCACTAGAACACAATTCAGCGAAGTTCTTTGTCACTTTATAAGAGGAATCATCTTTCCTCCAATTTCCAATAACTTGTTCCCCATTTCTGTCTGAGACCACCAGAATGGCACCAGAATGGTATAGGTATTGTCCATACCTATACCAACATTCTGTTCATGATTATTCACTTATTTTCTAAGAAGATGGAGGCTTTCTCTTCAATTCTCTTCTTACCTTTCTGAGCCCTCACCAGAATCATCGTTAACATCCATATTTCTATCAACAGTCCCTTCACAGTAATCTAATGTTTTACTAGCATGGTCCTCAAAACTCCTTCAACCACCCCATCTCCACCAAAATCTATATTAGTCAGAGTTTTCCAGAGTAACAGATCCTGTGTGTGTGTGTGTATGTATGTGTGTGTGTGTATGTGTATGATTTCTTATAAGAAATTGACTCACATGATTATAGTGGCTGACAAGTCCCAAGATCTTCAGCTGACAAGCTGGAGACCCAAGACAGCTGATGGTATAGTTCTATTATAGTCCAAAGGCCAGTAAGTTCATGACGCAGGAAGAACCAATGATTCAATTTTAATCTGAAGGCAGGAAGAAAGCTGTTATCCCAGCTGAAGCAGTCAGGCAAGAGGAATTCCCTCTTCCTTGTAAAAGGGTCAGCCTTCTTTCTATTCAGGCTTTCAACTGATTGCATGGGGTCCACCCACACTGAATAAAGCAATCTGCTTTACTCAGTCTACTGTTAGTTTACTAAGTCAAATGGTAATCTCATCAAAAAGCACACTCAGAGACACACTCAGAATAATGTTTGAGCAAATATCCAGGCACCCTGTGGCCCAGTCAGGTTGACTCATATAATTGACAATCACAAGGGACATAAAAGAGGAAATGAATAAATGGAGAGACATATCATGTTCACATATTAGAGAACTCATTATGATACATTTGTTGACTTTTCCCTCAGAAGAATATGAAAAAGTAAGCTATGTTTAATCAAAATCTCAAAAAGCGTTTCTACAAAACTTGACAAGTTCATCTTAAAATTAATATTAAAGAACTATGGACAAGTATATTTGACATGACTAAGAAGAAAGCCAAATAGAGGATTTGACCTGTTAGGAAGTGAGACTTATAGTACAGCTAGAGTAACTAAGGTTGTGTGGCACTTAATTACAGGGAGATTCAGTGGATAGTAAAAGAAACAAACCTATGTGTATGTGAAATTTTGAAAACTGACAAGATGCACTGCAGTTAATGAGATTACTTAATACCGAAAAAAACTAGAATTAGAGATGTACTTCATATTAGCATTAGAGGTCTATTATCATTACAGACAAATTTCAGGGATTAAATAACTAAATGCATAAAGGAAATGTTTAAAATTTTCAAAATAGTAGAAGAATATCTTTATAATCTCAGACTACAGAAGTACTTCTTAGACAAGAAATATGTATATATGAAAAAGTATAAACCATGAGTAAAATCATTCATAAATATTAACTTGCACAAACAAAAAAGACCTCACAAACAAAGTGCAAATAAAAACCACAGCAAGGGAGATTTTGCAATACAGATAATTGACGAAGGATTTATCCAGACTATATAAAGAATTACAAATCAATACAGAAAAGACAATTCAATTGAAAAGTTAGTGAACACAATGAGCAGCAATTTAGTGAAGAGGACACTTGAATATGAAAATATGGTCACCCTCACTAGAAAGCAGAAAATTACTCAATAAAACCATAAAAAGATACCATCCACTTCATAAGCATTAGATTGAAAAAGTATTTAAAATCTTCAATAGCAGGTGTTAGTAAGAATATAGAATAGTGAGCCTTTAAACACTGCTTACACATTTCTAGAATAAATTTAATTTGGTGTAACATGCTCTTAAAAGCCAAATATGCTCATAACTCTGACCTCACAATTTTACTTTGCTGTACACACTCTGGAGAAACTCTGTTATACATGCACAAAGAAACCTATACAAAATGTTTCCTGCAGTGCTGTTTTCAGTAGCAAAATGTGAGAAATAAACTAAATGTCCATCAACAGGTAAAGGATAAACATAGCATATTATTCAGCTACAATGGAGTATTGTAGTTGAATATTAGCATATCTATGTATTAACATGAATAAATATAATAAATAGTAGTTGAACAAGGATATTGCTAAATGGTACTCCAGTTTTGTGGCACTTATATAAATTTTGAAAAATACACAACAATATATAATTTAAATGGATCCACATATATGCAGTAAAGCATAAAAATATGCATGGAAATGATAAACACACAATTTACAATAGTAATTCCCCCTGAGGATGAAGAAGGTCACAATTGTATCTGTAATATTCTATTTCTTTAAAAAAAAAAAACCTTAAAATGAACGTGGCACAATAATAGGTTTTGATTAAGCTAGGTGGTAGATTCTTGTGCATATAATACGTTATTGTGTACTCTTCTTTGTATCTTATTCTAGGTATACAGCATGTGGTTACAAGTGCAAGTTCTAGAGCTAGACTGCCTGGTTGAGAATGCTGGCTCTTGCACTTCATAGCTGTGTGACTTTAGGCAAGTTACTTAAGATTACTGTTCTTCAGTTTCTTCACCTGCAAAGCAAGGACTATACAGAGTAATACACCTACTTCAGAGCACCACTGTGAACATTAAATGATTGCTATATAAAGATCACATAGCTTTCATATAGCAAGCTCTCCATAAACATTAGCTATAATTATAAGATTTAAACTATATTGGAAATGTTAACTAAGAAACACAAGCTGAAGCATGGTAAATACAATCTGATTCTATTTGTGAAAACTTCATTATAAAAATATACCCCTAAGATAAATATAGGAAAACATAAACTATGAGGTTATACACCTTTTAGTACATGGGTTATGTCTGGAGAGGGAGAGAATGAGTTCTAGAAGGCAGGCAACCAGCACTTCAGCTATAGGAGACACATACAAAACCCCTTCTACTGACAGGTGCTATTTAAATGCTTTATATATGTTAATTAATTTAACTCTCATAGCAACCTTGAAGCACAGGGAGACTTACTCAAGGTTCCTCATGAGTAAAGATTTTGCAATGCAGATAACTGGCAATAGATTTAATACTCAGAATATATAAAGAATTGCAAATCAGGATTTGAACTCAACCGGTTGGCCTCCAGAGACTGGGCTCTGACTCTCTAGGTGCCTCCTAAATAAGTAAATGCTTCATTTAGAAAAACATATGATAACTACCACCCATATGATCAACACAGGATTGGAAATCAGAACTTACGAAGAGCTGTGACATATTTATGATAAATAACCCAACTGAAAAAATTGGCAAAGGAAATGCACAGAAAATGCAGTGATGAAGAAACATTAATGACTAAAAAATGTATTGGTAATCTAGGAAATGCAAATTGAAGCAATAAAAATGAATAATTTTATACCCTTGAAATTGACCAAAAATTGAAAATCTGATGGTAACAAATGTCAACCTTGTAGAACAGCAGGAATTCTCATACATCTGGTGGATGTGTAAACTGGCAAGGCTACTCTGCACAGCAATTTGGCAATATCTAGAAAAGTCAAAGGAACATATTTCTTTCAACAGGACAATTTTCCACCTAGCTCCATTTATTACAAAATCTTGAGAGTAGACAAAGACAAGAATATTCTTTAAAACTTTGTTAGTAACAGGGAAAAACTTTCAAAATTTCAAGTATCAATCTAGCCCATTTTGTGTTGCTATAACAGAATCCCTGAGGCTGGGTAATTTATAAAGAAAAGAGGTTTATTTGGTTCACAGTTTGGCAGGCTGGGAAGTTCAAGGGCATGGCACTGACTTTTGGAAAGGGCTTTCCTGCTTGAGCAGGGCATGGAAGAAGGTCAAAGGCAAAGTGGACACATGCAAACAGGCCAAACACTATCTTGCAGAAACTAATCCATTCCCAAGAGAACTATTCCAGTCTCTTGAGAGTGAGAACTCACTACCGTGAGAAGGTCACCAAGCCACTCATGAGGATGGAGCCACCAGGACATAAAAGCTTCCCATTAGGCCCTACCTGGTAAAGGTTCTACCTGTCAACACTGTTACATTGGCAACTAAATTTCAACATAAGTTTTGGGAGAGACAAAGCGTATGCAAACCATAGCACCATGAAAAAAAGACTAGGAAAATATGATATCATGATATAATTATGTAACATACAAAGCGAAAGTAATTTGAGCTCATGTTGGAAGTTTATAAATATAAAAACCCATATTGAGTAAATAAAGCAAATTTCATAATGCTATGTATAGAATAATACAAACTACATAACAGAACTTGAAAACCAGCAAAATAATTTTACATAGTTTACAATTATATTTATCTACTGATGTCATAAAATATCATTCTCAAATGGTCCTGGAGACCTTTTCAGAGATTCTGTGAGGTCAAAACTATTTTCATAATAATACTAATTTTTTTCCTTTACTCTTATATTCTCATGAGTGTACCAGAGTTTTCCACAGGCTGCATAACATGTAACACAACAGTTGAATGTGGAAACAGATCTGAGAATCCCACTGTCTTTGAGCATGCCAGACGTTAAAGAAATTTGCACAATGTAAAACAATGCTACTCTTCTTTAACTTTAGAAAATATATTTACCTTTTATATTATTTATACTAATGTGTATGAGTTTAATATAATTTTAAATTAATTAATGAATGTTTCTAAAATGTCTTAGCCTTTATTTCAAACACTGTAAATAATGATAGTTATAATGAGCATTAACAGAAACAATGTTAAGGTCTTGAATAATTTTTAAGAATGTGAAGGGATTCTGAGACCAAAATGTTTGACAACTGCTACTGTAAGAGCATACCTAGGAAAGATGAACATCAAGTGTAAGGTCACTCTGAGGAGGGGGAGGAGAGACAAAGTGATGGGGCTGGAGGTAGGGATAGAGGCTCAAATGTATCTGCAACATATTTTTCTTAAGAAACGGAAGCAACGTACAACAAAATATTTGCATTTAATACAACTAGATGGTGGTTACATCATACATTTGTACCTTTTAATGTATTTAGTTCATAATAAAAAGACATAAAGTTATAAGCATATTACTTAGACTTACGGAAGTAATTAGCAGAACTACTGATAACCAAAACAGTTAAGAAGTTTTCAATGGGGTGTGAGACTAGAGGTGGGTGAGCGAAGGCGGAAGACGGCTGCTCGTCAAAGCAGGCTCTTCGACACCATTTCAGTTGTTACTAGGTGCACCTACTACACTTCATAAAAACGGGATCTTCAACACAAGGAATGAAAAAAAGGAAAAGGTTACACGCACCATGCTTGCAACTATGCAGAACATACAGATGGAAATAAACTCTCGAAGGAAATGAAGTGATAAAATAATTGTGTCAGGATGTTGTGATTATGGAACTTTCTTTCATTCCCATATCCTCTGTGGTTGTATTGCTTACACAGCCTAAAATTACTTTTTAAATTAGCAATGTATCAAAAAAGACAGATGCATGCTCTTTAACTGATGTTGAAAAAAACAAAAGAAAAAAGAATTTGTTTCCGCTTGGGGAAGATATTGATTATGGCTGTCATTTGGATTCTTTTTATTCTTTGGTTCTTTTTACATCAGTAGTTGCCAACCTTTTATATCCTAAAGACCATGATCATAGATAGTCTTTTTTAAACTTGAAATGGTAGGAGCCTTTCTTTAGAGACAGAATTAACTTTACTGAATAATATAAAATTGGTACCATATCATCAGAATGTATTAATCATGCCCCTGTTTCTTTCAGTGTTCTCATATAACTATGCTATATGAAATATTAATTCTGATACAAATGACTTGATAATGATCCACATGGAAGGTCCAATGGACTATTTATTATACTGCTTATTATGTACCATTTCCTCTGACTCTGTCAGTGGCAGCTGTTTGCTGGAGAGAGAACCCCAAGGCAAGTTGACTTCGGAGGAGAAAGCCAGAGGGGCAACTTGACGTCAGGGAAGAGTGACCTGCCTTTACTGTCTAGCAGTAGGAGGGAGATTTACTGGGCAGCTGGCCTACTTCTACATGCATGGGCCCCACTGATGCCATAAGGGGGACATGCACGTGCATAAAGATGGTGCCATGAGCTCAGAAGGCATCACCCAGGACTCCTTCCTGTGTGTCACAGAACCACAACAAAAATGATTTCTGATTTGAACTGCCCACCCATCATCCACCCATCTAAGGATCTGGTCAATATGATTATTGAATACCTACATGCTTTTGCACCATGCTGGGTACTATGCATGTATAATGGAAACTGTGCCTCCGTAAAAATCACAGGTGTAATAGAATATAATCTCATTCACCTTCAAGTAAGTTGTGATGCAGTCCTGCTTTGCAAACAGAATCTTTGTTATAAAATGTGCAAGTGATTAGAAGAGTATTTGCAAGAACAATTATAAAACATGCTGTGGTTATGCTATTTTCTTTTAAGTCTGCCACAGGTGTGTGTGAGTGTGAATGCATATAGATACATACAGGCAGACACACTAGATGGATAGCTGCATGTATGCTCTCAAACTTCATTTTTTTCTTCCTGGACACAACTTCCTTTGCAGTTAGATTGGGTGCATGTGACTGGATTCTGGTCAATGGATGTAGGTGGAAATGATGTATATCAATTTCAGGTCTGGAAAGAAATCCCTCCGTAGTCCTTTTCCCCCTTCCTGGAGATCACAGCGACTATGTACAGAAGGTGGACGTAGTACAAGAAGGATGATCATGGATCCCTGAGTCACCACTTGGAGGAGAAAGATCCAGCAGACCACTGTCACACAGTGACAGGAGTGAGAAACAAACACTTAATGTGTTAAGCCATTGAGAATTTGAGGGTATTTATTACAGTAGTAGTGTTAATTGTCCTGTGTTTCACAATTAACTGTAGAAGCAGATTAGCCCTAGAGTAATGATGTTGATGACATCATTACCAAAGAAGGAGATTTTACATTACTGTGCTGCTAAGAAGAAAGTTAAAAACGAATATACCTCTGCAGAGATAGCACATGTGTTTCTACCCATGAAAGGTTATTCATATCATAACACGTCTTACGTTCAGCCAACTCTCCTGCAGGACCCTGCAAATGATCCATAGCATTACTCATCTGTTCGCAGCTGCAGAGTCTGGTTGAATTAATAACTTGGGTGCCTTCTATGTGGCAGGCCCAGACATGTTTTCTTTTGAATCTTTTTTCAGACATATCCCAGAATAAAGTCGGTCCCCAAACTTTCCCTAGGATGCCGGACCCTCCTTAGGTCTTCTTAGTTGTTAACCACTTTGTAATTCTCTCCTACTCCATCCTCAAGAGGCATCAAAGGCCAGAGTGCCTATGCAGCCTTGTCATCCAGGTGAGAGCCAGGACCATAATCATGAGGCTCTGTGGTTTCATCCATGACAGGAAGCAGTTGATGCAGCCAACCCACAAAGGAAAGTCTCAAAGCCAGGTGCCTCCTCTGTCAGTGTGGATGCTTGTGTGGGTCTACCACACTTTCTTCTGCTAAATCGTACATTCTGAATGATAGAAGCAGGGGGCAGAGAAACTCTAGGCAGACAGGGGCGGGTCCCTGGTGAAGCCCGGCCTTCAAGTCAAAAAGCCTGAAACCTGTGACCCAAAGCGAGAACTTCTATCCCTATTTGCCCTCTCTCTCCTGATTGGTTCCTTTTGAATAACGTCTTTTTACAAATCAAATGTTGCCCATCCTGCTCCCCCATTCTGTGCCTATAAAGACCCCAGATTCAGCTGGTAGAGGAAAGAAGCAGCTGGATGTCAGGGAGAGAAACTTGACTTCAGAGACAATGGCTGGACATCGGAGAGAGGCAACTTGACTTCAGAGGAGAGAGGCGGAGAGGCAACTTGACTTCAGGGGAGAGTGACCTGCCTTTACTGTCCCCTTTCCAGCTGCCTTCTCCACTGAGAGCCACTTCCATCACTCAGTAAAATTCTCCACATTTACCATTATTCAATTCATCCATGTCATCTCATTCTTTTTGGGCACTGGACAAGAATTTGGGACCCACCAAGTGCTGGTACCCAAAAAAGGCTGTCAAACTGGTCCTTTGCCCTCACTGGTGGAGGGCAGCCACCCCATGTGATGAGGCAGAGGGCCCACTGAGCTGATAACACATTGCTGTCTGTGGATGGCGGAACTAAGAGAGCATTGTAACGGTGCCTTCTGGGGCCTTGGGGTTGCAGGCACCCCCACCTGGATGCTGCCGCGGGGCGTGCATGGAGTTTGCTCCTGCCAGCTGCAAAGCGGCCGGCTGGTTCCTGTAGTCCCTCTCCTACTCACTCTCTCCCACGAGGGGTTGAGCATGGCAGGCTGAGTAAATGGAGCACCCCTGTCATGGGTTCCATGAAGGGGTCAAGAAAATATCCTGCATCACTAACTGTCATGCTGCAGTCACCAGCAAGGATGAAACACAGCTCCGTGACTGTGTGGATGTCTCAGTATCTCTGCCTCTCCATGCTTGTTTCATCTGGGAGCCGTGCCCTCCCTGCACTTTCTCACTCAGCAATTTCTACTAATCAATGAATACAGTTTAATGTTGCTCAGTGAAGCCTCCCTCACCTTCCATGGGAGGTGTTAAAGCTTGTTCCTTGGGACTCCCATAGCACTTTGTTTATACCCTATTTTAATGTTTATAAGCTTGTACTTCTATGCATTGATTTAGAAGCCTATCTTTCCAACCAGATGATGGACTTCTTAGGGGAAACTTCTTTGAATGGTTTCATTCCTTGACTTCGAGGATACTCTCCTGTCTGGATTTTCTTTCTATCACTGTATGCTCCTTTCAGTCCCCCTTGTGGGTTTTGCTGTGCATCAGGGCTCATTCATTTAGCCTCCTCTCTTTTCTCTCTAAACTCACTCTGCAGATGATTTCATCCTGTTTAGAGCTTCGAATACCTTCTAAAAACTGATGACTCTCAAACAAGTAACTCTGTCACAAACTTCTTCCCTTAACTCTAGGCTCCAAAATTCATAATATCCATCCATCTCTTCTTAAATGTCTATTGGGCATCTCAGAATGAAAATAGAACTGCATTTCTCCATGCTTTCCTCACAGCTTGCTCCTTCTTTAATCTTCCTCATCTCAGGATTGAAATTCTCCTTTTCCATTTTCCCAGTCCAGAAACCTAGGCTGGTCTTTCATATGCCACTTCCAACCCAGAATCAAATCCTATGGGTGTTATCTTCAGTGATGTCTTGAATCTAACCACTCCTCACCATCTCTTATTTGGACACTATAACAACCTCAAAATGGACTCCAGAGGGCAGCCAGAATGATCCTTTTAAAATTTAAATTTGGCTTATCAGTTCCCTACTTGAGCCCTTCAATGGTTCCCCACTGCATTTTGAATAAAACACACAGTCTGATGATGAGCATTTTTTCATGTGTCTTTTGGCTGCATAAATGTCTTCTTTTGAGAAGTGTCTGTTTTTTACACTGTTGGTGGGACTGTAAACTAGTTCAACCATTGTGGAAGTCAGTGTGGCGATTCCTCAGGGATCTAGAACTAGAAATACCATTTGACCCAGCCATCCCATTACTGGGTATATACCCAAAGGACTATAAATCATGCTGCTATAAAGACACATGCATATGTATGTTTATTGTGGCACTATTCACAATAGCAAAGACTTGGAACCAACTCAAATGTCCAACAATGATAGACTGGATTAAGAAAATGTGGCACATATACACCATGGAATACTATGCAGCCATAAAAAAGGATGAGTTCATGTCCTTTGTAGGGACATGGATGAAATTGGAAATCATCATTCTCAGTAAACTATCGCAAGGACAAAAAACCAAACACCACATGTTCTCACTCATAGGTGGGAATTGAACAGTGAGAACACATGGACACAGGAAGGGGAACATCACACTCTGGGGACTGTTGTGGGGTGGGGGGAGGGGGAAGGGATAGCATTAGGAGATATACCTAATGCTAAATGACAAGTTAATGGGTGCAGCACCCCAACATGGCACATGTATACATATGTAACTAACCTGCATATTGTGCACATGTACCCTAAAACTTAAAGTATAATAATAATAAAAAAGAAAAGAAAAGAAAACAAAACAAAACAAAAACACACAGTCTGACTCTTGGAACCTTTGCATGAGCTGACCCGAGATGGCTCTGTGCCTTTACCCTCACTACTCTTACCAGGCAAAGGGGCTTCCTTCTTGTTTCTCAAACAGGCCAAGCACACTCCTGTTTCAGGACTTCTGCACCTGAAGTTGCCCATGTTTGGAAAGTTCTTAGCAGGCACATGCATGACCAATTTACATGCCACATTCAAGTCTGGTCAAATGTCACTTCATCAGAGAGGAATTCCCTGAGCATCCTTCTAAAACAGCATGCTCTCGCATGGCTACCTAGCTTTATTTTTTCTTCCATACCTACCTGACGTTCTATTATCCATCCACTTATTTAGTTGTTTGGAATGTAATCTATATAAATGCAAGCTCACTAGATTGTAACCTCCATGAAGTAGGGCTATTGTCTGTTTTATTCACTGTACCTCTTGTGAACAGAATAGTGATATAGTTTGCATATTTGTCCTCTCCAAATCTCATGTTAAAATGTGATACCAATGTTGGAAGTGGGGCCTGGTGGCAGGTGTTTGGGTCATGGGGGCAGATCCCTCATGAATAGCTTTGTGCCATTCTCGGGACAGTGAGTGAGTAGTTTTTGCTTTATTAGCTCCTGCAAGAACTGATTGCTAAAAGCAGCCTGATACCTCCCTCCCCTCTCTCTCTTGCTTCCTTCCTATTACCATGTGATGCCTGCTCCCCTCCACCTTCCACCACAATTGGAAGCTTCCTGAGGCCCTTATCATAAGCAGATGCTGGCACTATGCCTCATTTTATGTACAGCCTACAGAATTGTGAACCAAATAAATCTCTTTTGTTAGTAAATGACCCAACCTCAGGTATTCCTTTATAGCAACACAAAACAGACTAGGACAAATAGTATCTAACATCGAGTAGGCTTACTATAAATATTTGTGAAGTTAATGAGTCCTTAGACTCTAAACCATTTTCTATAGATTGTGTCCAAGAGATGTTTGATTAATACAAGTTTTTGTACATTGGAAAACTACTTACTTATAATAAATGACTTAGTTGACCTGAAGAAACTAAATCCTAGACCCAGCAGTGGGGAAAACTGAGAACCAAACTAATTATACTACAAAACCCCAAGAAGGCTCAGAAATTGATGGCAGTGAATACCTTTGGAAGTGAGGGCAAATGAGGTGGCACTAAAATAAAGATGCATTGGTGGAAAGTCTGTTTACTGAGCAGTTATACCCTCCAGCTTCCTCTATTCCCAGCAATAAGAGTACTGTCCCTCCCGACACTGACAAAAGACTGGAGCTGAATAGTTGTGAAAAGATAGAACACAATCTCTGGACTAGTGGACACATGTCAAAATTGAAGATGGGGATGCCACAGATAAAATAGGAAATTAATTACATGGACACCTGCCAGATGCTGATACTATAGCTCTCCTCCTTCTCAGCTCCCAGGAGGCTGTCAGGCCACTTCTCTCCATGAGGGATACTGGAAGAGTCTTATCTTGGAAACCTGAGAGACCAAGAAAAAAGATCCAAAGATATGTACACTAATATCCCTCAATTAAATAGCCCAACTAAGCTGGGCATGGTGGCTCATGCCTGTAATCTCAGTGACTTGGGACGCTAAGCTGGGAGGATTGCTTGAGCCCAAGAATTCGAGGCAAGTCTGGGCAATATCACGAGATCCTGTCTCTAAAAACAAACAAACAAAAATTAGCTGGGCATGGTAGTGCACACCTGTAGTCCCAGCTACTTGGGAGGCTGAGGGTGGAGGATTGCTTGAGGTAGCAATAAGCTATGATCATGCCACTGCACTCCAACCTGGGTGACAGAGTGAGATCCCACCTCTAAAAATGAATGAACAAACAAACCCACAACTAGATAACCCTAGAGTTAAACTTAAAGTCATCCATTCTAACCCATGAGCTCAGAGCTTCCCATCAACTTTATAGTGCCCTGCTCCTAAGTATGAGCGGACAGCCAAGGCTCACTGGAAGTCTTTATTTATTCTTTAATTTGAAATATAGGAGCTGAAACAAACAGAAAAAACAACCACTTTGGTGGAAACAGACTCTTCAAGGAGAATAAAGTCCAAAAGATCTGTTATGTGTTCAAAGAGATAAGAGAAAATATTGCATCCACGAAATGAGGATAGAATGTTAAATTTAAAAAGTTGGCAAACAAAAAAGAGCTCTTGTAATTAAACATATAAAACAGAAATTTATAACTCAGTGGAAGGGTTGTAAAACAAATCTAAGGAGCTTAGAAAGTGGAGTAAAAGCACAAAGAGGTAGGAAACAGAAGGAAACAGAAAAGCAAAGATAATTAGAGGGCCAGGGCCAGGTCATGAAACTCAGCATGAACGTAATACACAGTTTAGAAAAGAGAGATGGAAGGAAACAAATTATTTATAATACAATTCAAGAAGATTTACTAAAACTGAAACATCTGAGTTTCTGAGTGTTCCAATAGATGAAAATAAACCCACGTTAAGGCATATAATTCTGAAATTACAAAAGCTACTACTTGCTTCCAGGGAAGATTTTTTTTTTAAAGGTATATTCAAAGGTCAGGAATTAACTTGGCTTCCGACTTCTCAATAACAATTTTGGATGTTAAAGGACACAAGAGCAAGAACTTTAAAATTCTCTAGGATCATTATTTTCAACTCTAGCCAAATTATCAGTTAAGTATAAAAATAGATTAAAGAAAGGTTCAGATGTGCAAGGTCTCAAAACATGTACTTCCATGCCCCCTTTCTCTGTATGCTCCTAGATGATGTGTTCTACCAAATAAGGGAACAATCCCAGAAAGAAAGATACAAGATGCAGGGATCGGAAGGCAGGGAGTGAATACCCAGAATGAGATGCCAGGATGACAGCTGCGCATTAGGCATAGTGGGAAAACTCTGGAAAAGATTTACCTACGAAGACAAATTTGTTGGAATGTTTATGTGGCCTAAATTCTTGAGTAAAGTTTAAAAAAAATTGGTGCAGAGTTTGGAGTTGAATTTATGATAGGGTCATAGAAAACCAAGCAAACAAAAAACACAATAATTAATTTTATGGAGAATTAAAAGGTTACTCATGACATACCTTAAGGTAATAAAAGCCATCTATGGGCTGGGCACAGTGGCTCATGCCTATAATCCCAGCACTTTGGGAAGCCAAGGTAGGTGGATCACTTGAGGCTAGGAGTTCGAGACTAGCCTGGCCAACATGGCAAAACCCCATCTCTACCAAAAATACAAAAAAATTAGCCGGGTGTGGTGGCACGTGCCTATAATCCCAGCTACTTGGGAGGCTGAGGCAGGATAATCGCTTGAATCCGGGAGGCAGAGGTTGCAGTGAGCCGAGATCATGCCACTGCACTCCAGCCTAGGCGACACAGCATTGACTCTGTCTCAAAAAATAAATGAATGAATGAATGAATAAATAAATAAAAACAAAAGCCGTCTATGACAAACCCATAGCCAACTTTATACTGAATGGGGAAAAGTTGGAAGTATTCCACCTGAGACCTGGAACAAGACAAGGATGCCCACTTTCACCACTCCTATTCAACATAGTACTGGAAGTCCTAGCTGGAACAATCAGACAAAAGAAAGAAAGGGCATCCAAATTGGTAAAGAGGAAGTCAAATTGTTGCTGTTCGCTGATGATATGATTGTATACCCTAAAGACTCATCCAAAAAGCTCCTAAATCTGATAAATGAATTCAGTAAAGTTTCAGAATACAAAGTCAATGTGCACAAATGAGTAGCACTGCTAAACATCAACAGCGACCAAGCTGAGAATCAAATCAAGAACTCAACCCCTTTTATTACAGCTGCAAAAAACATAAAATACTTAGGAATATACCTAACCAAGGCGGTGAAAGATGTCCACAAGGTAAACTATAAAACACTGCTGAAAGAAATCATAGACAACAAAAACAAATGGAAGAACACTCCATGTTTATGGCTGGACAGACTCAATATTGTGAAAATTACCACACTGCCAGAAGCAATCTACATATTCGATGCGATTCCCATCAAAACACCATTGTCATTCTTCACAGAACTAGAAAAAGCATCCTAAAGTTCATATGGAACCAAAAAAGTGTCCACATAGCCAAAGCAAGACTAAGCAAAAAGAACAATTTCGGAGGCATCACATTACCTGACTTCAAACTACTATAAGGCTACTATAGTCACTGAAACAGCATGATACTGGTATAAAAATAGGCGCATAGACCAATGAAACAGAACAGAGAATCTGGAAGTAAAGCCAAATACTTAGAGCCAACTGATCTTCGACAAAGCGAACAAAAACACCAAGTGGGGAAAGACACCCTATTCAACAAATGGTGCTGGGATAATTGGCAAGTCACATGTAGAAGAATGAAACTGGATTCTCATCTCTCATCCTATGCAAAAGCCAACTCGAGATGGATCAAAGACTTAAATCTAAGACCTGAAACTATAAAAATTCTAGAAGGTAACATTGGAAAAACCCTTCTAGACATTGGCTTAGGCAAAGAATTCATTACCAGGAATCCCAAAGCAAATGCAACAAAAACAAAGATAAATAGATGGGACTTAATTAAACTAAAAACTTCCGCACAGCCAAAGAAATAATCAGCAGAGGAAACAGACAACCCACAGAGTGGGAGAAAATCTTCACAAACTATGCATCTGACAAAGGACTAATATCCAGAATCTACAAAGAACTCAAACAAATTGCAAGAAAAAAACAAAAATCCCCTCAAAAAGTGGGCTAAGGACATGTATAGACAATTCTCAAAAGAAAATATACAAATGGCCAACAAACATAAGGGAAAATGCTCAACATCACTAATTATCAGGGAAACGCAAATCAAAGCCACAATGGGATATCATCTTACTCCTGCAAGAATGGCCATAATTAAAAAAAAAAAGATATTGGCATGAATGTGGTGAAAAGGGAACACTTTTACACTGTTCGTGGGAATATAAACTAGTATAACTACTATGGAAAACAGTATGGGGATTCCTTAAAGAAATAAAAGTCGATCTACCATTTGATCCAGCAATCCCACTACTGGGTAGCTACCCAGAGGAAAAGAAGTCATTATATGAAAAAAGACACTTGCACACACGTTTATAGCAGCACAACTTGCAACTGCAAAAATATGGAACAAATGCCCATGAATCAATGAGTGGATAAAGAAAATGTGGTATACTTATACCATGGAATATTCCACCACAAAAAATAACTCAGCCACAAAAAGGAATGAAATAATGGCATTTGCAGCAACTTGGATGGAATTGGAGACCATTATTCTAAGTGAAGTAACCCAGGAATGGAAAACCAAACATTGTATATTCTCACTTGTAATTGGGAGCTAATCTATGAGGACATAAAGGCATAAGAATAATACAAGGGACTTTGGGGATCGGGGGGAAGTGTGGAAGGGAGGTGAGGAATAAAACTGTACTCTGTGTACACTGCTTGGGTGATGGGTGCATCAAAATCACAGAGATCACCACTAAAGAACTTGTTCATGTTACCAAACACCACCTGCTCTCCAAAAACCTATTGAATTTTTTTTTAAAAGAAAAAAATATAAAAAGAATCTAAGAAAATGATGAAAGGTTGCTCATGAAAGAATAGCAATAATAATTTACCACAAGTTCAATGGTGAATTTGACTTATAATAATATAAACATGATGAGTATATTTAAAAATAATGATATAAATGAACTGGAGACTAGATGGCTGGGAAGGGTGCTTGGGGATCATACGAACACAGAGAGAAAAGATAGCTCAACTCTTATTTTTTTATAGTACGAAGTCAATAGAGAATGCCGAGAGCAGAACAATCACGAAGTATCAATGCAAACATGCTATTCAGAAATATGGAATTAAACACCAACGAGGTCAACTGAAAAACTAAAACAGGTTGCCTTCAGGAATGGGAAAATGGATGGGTTGGAGGGGTGCAGTGGGCTGTTGTTTTTGTCTACACATCTTATAAAACTATTTGATTCATGTATTTGTCCATAATACATAAATTTTAAGAAGCAAGGAAATGGTTCCAGGCTGTGTCTAGACAGTGTTGGTAAAGATAATGTTTGGTGTCCAAGGTGGGTCTAGGAGTTAAGAAACGCACCTGAATAACAGGCAGGAGACCTTGAAATGGACACAGTTGTGACAAAAGCCAATTTCAGGATATGACTAGTGTAGAATCTACAGGTCAAAGAAGAGGAGTTGGACTGGGGGCAGTGGCTCGCACCTGTAATACCAATGAAATGGGAGGCCAAGGCAGGGGGATGGGTTGAGGCCAGGAGTTTGAGGTTGCAGTGAGCTATGATCACGCCACTGCACTCCAGCCTGGGTGACAGAGTGAGGCCTTGTCCCCCATGCCCCCCCAAAAAGGAGTTACACTCAGAACATGGCAAATGGATTATCTTGGATAGAGCAGGAATGTTAATGCTGGAGCAATACAAGGCTCATTATGGCAGCTAGTAGCTGTGACTCTGCCAAGTTACCATTCTATGGCATCAGTAGCCATGTGCTCCTTCATTGATACGCAGCCTGGAATTGAAAATGAGGTCCAACAGGTGTAGAGGGGACCAGGTCCTTTTTGAGTTCACACATAGGTGATAGGGTCTAGGGCTAACTTATCATCTCCAGAGAAACAATGAAACCCACAATATGGTCCTTTGAACACAGTGGGTTTTTGCTGAATGATTGAGAACGTGAGTGGAATCCTATTGGAAAGACCATCTGCACCCAGAAAGTGGGTGCGCTTGTCAGAAAGAGCTCATCTGGAGCAAGAGAGGGGACTGGCACAAGAGGCCACTTGGTTGTGGATCTTTCAGGTGCAAATGGTGTAAATTCCCAGCAAACTCTTCTATAAGTCTTGGCTTTTCTTCTCTCTTCCTGCCTCCCCTGACATGAATGATGGTAACAGGCTGAGAAAGCAACAACCCTGATTTAATCCATTTCCCTCCATGTAAGCAGAAAACTGGCAGAATAATAAGATTTAGTCTGCCTTGTTCTCCATTTGAGCTGAGACCTAAAAGTGGCACAGACTTCACAAGCAATGTCGATTAGGAGAGTAACTGTTAGAATCATCTTTTCTCTTGGTTTATCCCAATCTTCCCTCTTGAAATGCAAGAAATCTATGGATTGATACATGATGTTATAGGTGTTATAACTGTATAATTGTAACATGAATTCACATCATGTTGATATATTAGATGATATACAAAAACACTTGTTTTTGTAGGTCAAAAAGTAATCAAATATCAGCAATTTCATGCTATCCAACCTAATCTCCTCCTATTTTTGTGCCTGCCCTCTAAGTTAGGTATTTAATCCCGTACAATGGATGAATGAGCCTTGGAGGAGTTAACGCTTTATAACTGTGCTTTCTCAGGGGAATGTAAAATAATCAACTGGCCCTAATCAATGAAAAGAGTTTTGCATATTCAAAGTTGACCCAGAAGCAGTCAGCCCTTCTCCTAGTCTCTGGTACTGGGGTCTCTAGTTAGACTCAGAGCCAGGACAGTCCTCTGTACTGAATGAGCTGTGAGCACCTGTGGGCATATTCTTCTTCTCTGGTGATCTCTAATGATGCCATAAATCCCCAGCAAACAGGTTCATTATTCCTCTAGATCCAAACTAACAGTGAGCAGCACAGACAGCACTGTGGAAGGCTAATCCATAGGATGAAGCCAAGTGGTGGCCGTAGGTAGGAGTGGAAGGGTCACCGTTTCTGTGGGAAACTGGGTTTGGTTATACTAATTAAGTATAATAATTTATGTGAAAGATAATATTGGGAATAGTGTATTCTGTCTGAGTGAATCATATTTCAGAAGAATAATGATTATTAGAGCTGAGTGCTACATTTAATTATACATATTTAATTTAAGTGATTGAATATAATTTGAACATTATTTGAATATTATTAGTCTTTAGGAACCTAACGTCTCTTTGGCCAAGAAGCATGGCAGAAAAACTAATTCTGAGGCAATGGAAAGAAAGAGATACAAGAAGAAATTCTGTACAGAATCAAATCCTTATTTTTTTAACTTTTAATTATTATTATTATTTGAGACAGAGTCTCTCTCTATTGCCCAGGCTGGAGTGCAGTGGCATGATCACGGCTCACAGCAGTCTTGACCTCCTGGGTTCAAGCGATCCTCCTGCCTCTGCTTCTCAAGTAGCCAGCACCATAGGCATGTGCTACCATGTTCAGCCCAGAATCGAAACTTTTAAAGAGTGGTACAACACAGGGAAACAGTTGGGAAAGGGTGGAAAATAGGAAGAAACCAATGACTTTTTCTTTTCAGATTGGTCTCAATTGCTGCATTCTTTCCATTAAAATAAAGAAATGTGGGTTCCTTCTGTCAGTAAATGTAGTCTCCCCAAACCACATCTAGCTTTCTGGAAGGCCAGTATCATGGTTCTAGGGCACCTGGATTCAGAGCAGTTGCTTCAGGTGAGATGAGCCACATGTCTCCACCTGCCACATCCAAATGCCATGTAAGACCCGTCACCATTGACTGCTCCTCAATAGCAAGATCCTTCAACACTTTGTAGAGGCCTTTCACGTTCCTGTGTCTCACAGCCTGTGCCATCTGCGGGAATGCTCCTCCATTTGATGAATTGCTTTAGCTGCCAATTTAATTATCACCTTTGCTGACCCCACTCCCAGCCACAAGACCCGGTGTCTACATCGTCTCTCTGTTGCCTCTACCCCAGAGGCATGGGTCTATTGCCTATCTGTTTCTCCTGTAGATGAAGAGCCCTGGAGTCTGGTTTCTTAATCGATGTTATCACCCAGCCCCAAGCTCACTGGGCAGAAAATGACCGATGTTTTTCGAATGAAAGAAACAGAATTTGTCAAAATGTTATTTATAAGTAAATTTTCAGGAGCAATGTATCATAAAAAGTAAGATGCTTCCAATATTTCCATTTAAGTCCCTCATGCCTGAGTTCATTCAAGTTTTAGCTGTGTCTTCAGCTCCCCACGGAAATCATCGTGCTTGCTTCTAAACATTTCCTCTCTCACCCTCTATGGCAGCTTGTCCAAACCATCACCATGCTACTTAAGCTCCTGATTCTAGCCTGCCCACCTCTCTCTCAGCAAACTCCTCCCACCTCAGAGGAAATTGAGGTGACCTGGTGTGAACCTGCAGGCACTGTTATAGGAAGAGATGCCACTTTCTACACCTGTAGTCTGAATCCCACCTCCTGTAGCTTTGCCAGTTACCTCTCTTTTCTATAGAGAGTCTCTCTTGCTCTGTATTAGTATTGTGTTTCTTTCCCGTCAACACATAAACATTCTTACGACTTTCTTTTCTTAAAACAAAATCCCAGTTCTTTGGTGATGGTATGGACAGGGAGCTATGCTTGCCCCAGTCTCCAGCCTACCTCCACAGAACACCAGGACAGCAAACATCCTCTTTCACCCAGTCCTTGGGTCTCTTCCGACAGGGATGCTGGTGAGTAGATGTGTGAGGCCATGCGGGCATTCAGGTGCTCATCACCAACTGGACCACAGCCCAGGAGCACGACAGCACCCAGAAACTCTTTTAACCTCACAGGCTCAAATCCATGAAACATTTCCCAACTTTACCCCAGATCATCACCTAATGGTAGAGCTACGTAGACCACACAGTGGCTCCACCTCTAATTACAGCTTACTTCACCTGTTTTATCTGAGGATCAGAAGCTGGATCGGGGGCACAGCCAGTGCAAACAGAGGTGGAAGATGGGCCCTGGAGCCTTGACCAAGACCCTCTGCTTGTAGGTCTCAGGGTTCCTACCATGTTCCTTCTAACACTAACTTGCAGTCAGAAGAACACACTTCAGTCTGCAGGTTGGCCTGCTTTCTCTCCTTTCCATGGCTTTTTCCATAAGATCTAGCTGGCCTATATAGTTTTACCCGAATTTATTAACTTAATTCCTTCTACTTACTGGCCAAATTTGATACTTTACTCCTGTGCGATCGATTCCCCTCCTGAATTTCCCCTTTGATCAATACTGCTTACTCAACATGGTTGCTATCACCAGCTGAAATTACCTCGCTTTTACACGGGCTTATTCCTTTATCATCCATCTCCCCTCCTTAGAATGAAAGCTCTGAGAGTGTGGAAATGGTTCATTGTGTTCCCTGCTAAATACCCAGTGCTAAACTGGCGCAGGCTCCCAGTGAATTTTTACTAAATGAAGGAATACAGGGAATAAACAAACAAAATTACCCTCTCTTCATCCAAACAACTGGTCACCAATTTTTATCAATTTTATTTTCTCACTATCATTCACATCTGTCCCTTTCTTTCTACTATCTGTGACCAGCTTAGTTTAGGCCCTCGTTTTTGTCTTGCTTAGATCAGAGAACAGCCTTCTAGCCTACCTATTGCGAGTCTAAGACCCCACTCTCCATTCTTTAAACCACTACCGAATGGACTGAAATTGAAAGTTAATCGCTGTGGTTTGAATGTGTGTCCCCTCCAAAACTCAAGTCGAAACTTAATCTCCAGGCAGTTTTCCTCAGCTGCGGGTGGTGGCCACTGCCAGGCTTCAGTTTCCAGTCTGTGGATGGTGAGGTGGCACGGACAGCGGCCCTGGTGCCCCACACTCCACTGCAAGCTGCCTGCCTGTCTGCCGTGCCCCAAGTCCACAGCTTCCCATCTCAGCACCCAGCTGCCACTGCCCTCTGTGGCCCAGTGAGCAGCCCAGATGCAGGCCATCAAGCGTGTGGTGGTGGGAGACAGAGCTGCAGGTAAAACTTGCCTATTGACTGGTTATACAACCAACTCATTTCCTGGAGACTATATCCTCACTGTCTTTGACAACTGTTCTGCCAATGTTATGGTACTTGGAAAATCAGTGTATCTGGGCTTATGGAATACAACTGGACAAGAAACTATGCCCCCTATCCTATCTGCACACAGACGTGCTCTTAATTTGCTTTTCCCTTGGGAGTCCCACATCATTTGAAACTGCTGGTGCAAAGTGGTATCCTAAAGTGTGGCACCACTACTTTCCAAACACTTTTGTCATCCTTGTGGGAATTGAACTTGATGTTAGGGAGCCTTTGTACACTTTGCTGAGAAAATGGTGGCACCTTCATACTCAATGCCAAGTTTTTGGTACAGATTTAATTTTCCCATAAAACCATTTTGAACCAAGCAGTAATTTTAAGGTGTAAGAGTTTAGACTCTAAAACGACAAGCTCTTTTTTTTTTTGGAGCCAAGGTCTTGCTCTGTCGCCCAGGCTGGGCTTGAACTCCTGGTCTCAAGTGATCCTCTCACCTTAGCCTCCCAGAATATGGGGATTATAGGTGTAAGCCACCACACCTGGCTAACAAGCCTTCTTAAACGCTTATTTTTCAAAGCCCCTATTCTTGTTTAGTTTAAGAGTTGCCAACCTACCTTCAGAACTAAATTGTTTTCTTGTGCTAAGGACACTGAGCACTAAACTGTATAAAGGCCTTTGTCTTTAAAAAGACTGTAGCTTCTGAAGTTAGGAAATGCAGACACTTTCTAAGTAGTTTTCAGATATGTAAAGCAGAACAGCTTCCTTAACAAAACATTGCCATTTAACATACCAGTAATTTATCAACCTTTGTTCCTTACAGAACTATAAAAAACTATTCTAAAATTCATACTGAACCAAAGAAGAGCCCAAATAGCCAAAACAATTCTAAGCAAACACAACAAAGCTGCAGGCATCACACTACCCTACTTAAAACTATACTATAGGGCTACCAAAAACCAAAACAGCATGGTACTGGTACAAAAATAGACACATAGACCAATTGCAGAATAGAGAGCCCAGAAATAAAGCCCTACACCTACAACCATCTGATCTTTGATAAAGTCAACAGTACATAATGGGGAAAGGGCTCCCTATTCAATAAATGGTGCTGGGATAACTGGCTATCCAAATGCAAAAGAATGAAAGTGGACCACTACCTTTCACCTCAAATTAACTCACGATTAATTAACGACTTAAAATGTAAGACCTAAAACTATAAAAATCCTTGAAGAAAACCCAGGAACTACCATTCTGGACATCAATTTGGCAAATAATTTATGGTTAAGTTCCCAAAAGCAACAAAACAAAAATTGACAATTGGGAACTAATTAAACTAAAGAGCTTCAGCACAGCAAAAGAAACTATCAACAGAGTAAACAGACGACCTACAGAATGGAGAAAATATTTACAAATGGCACCCTACAAAGGTCTAACATCCAGAATCTATCAGAAACTTAAATCAACAAGCAAAACCCAAATAATCCCATTAAAAAATAGGCAAAGGACGTGAACAGACACTTCCCAAAAGAAGAAATACATCTGGCCAACAAATATATGAAAAAATGCTCAACATCATTATTCATTAGAGCAATGCAAATCAAAACTACAATGAGACACCATCTCAAACCAGTCAGAATGGGTTTTATTAAAATGTCAAAAAACAACAGACATTGGTGAGCTTGCCAAGAAAAGGCTATGCTTATATACTGATGATGAAAATGTAAACTAGTTCAGTCACTGTGAGAAGCAGTTTGGAGATTTCTCAAAGAACTTAAAACAGAATTACCATTCAACCCAGCAATCCCATTACTGGGTATATACCCAAAGGAAAATAAATCATTCTGCCAAAAGGACATATGCACTTATAAGTTCCTTGCAGCACTATTTACAATAACAAAGACATGGAATCAACCTAGATGCCCATCAGTGGTGGACTGGATAAAGAAAATGTGGTACATACACACCATGGAGTACTACACAGCCAAAAAAAGAACAAAATCATGTACTTTGCACCAACATGAATGTGGCCGGAGGCCATTATCCTAAGTGAATTAATCCAGGAGTGGAAAATCAAATACCACATGTTCTCCTTATAACGGGAAGCTAAAAACTGAGTGTACACGATCATAAAGATGGCAACAATAGACACTGGGGACTACAAGAAGAGGGAGGGTGGGACAGGGTAAGGATTAGAAAATTACCTATCAGGTAGTATGCTCACTACCTGGGTGATGGAATCATTTGTAGAGCAAACCTCAATGACACTCAATTTACCCATGTAACAAACCTGCACATGTAACCCCAAACCTAAAATAACAGTTGGAAAGAAAAAAAGAAACTAAATCCCCAATGTGGCAGTATTGAGAGGTGGGGCCTTTAAGAGGTGATGGGGTCACGAGGGTTCGTTGCTCATGAAGGAAATAATCCACTGATGGATTAATGGATCAATGAGTTAGTGGATCATGGGTTATCACAGGAGCAGGGCTTTATAAGAAGAGGCAGAGGAATATGAACATGCACACCCAGCTCCTTCATCATGTGGTGTCCTTCACGTGGGGACCTGGTGACTCAGCAGAGTCCCCAACAGCAAAAGGGCTTTCATCAGATGCAGTCACTCCACCTTGGACTTCTGAGCCTCCATAACTGTAAGAAAGAAATTTGTTTTCTTTATAAACTGCCCAGTTTCAGGGAATAGAAAACAGACTAAGATACTAATCATGTCACTGCTCTCCTCAGAACTTTCCCATGGCTTCCAAACACCTCCACTGGGTGAAGTTTGAAGCCCCGAGCTTGGCACAAAGGCTGTCTGGCCTGGTCCCACTCCTGTTCTCAGCATCTTCCCTCACCACTTCTCACTTCACTCTCTCTGCTCCAGCCAAACTGAATTATCTTCAGTTCCTCTAATGCCTAGTGCTTTTTTTTTTTATCAGAAGCGTTTATTTTTAGAATAGTTTTGATTTATAGAAAAATTGAAAAGATAGCATAAAGGGTTCCTATATACCCCTCATCTAGTTTCCCCCAACTGTGAAGATCTTACATTACTTTGATGCATGCATTTGTCACAAGTGGTGAATCAATTAAATACATTAGTATTAATTCATGTCCATACATTATTCAGATTGTCCTTACCTAATGCCCTTTTTCTGTTTGAGGATCCCTTCCAGGATATGGTATTACATTTAGTCATTAGGACTCCTTAGGTTCCACTTGGCTGAGACAGTTTCTCAGATTTTCTTTGGTTTCAAGGGCCTTAACAGTGTTGAGAAGTATTGGTCAGGAATTTTATAGAATGGCTTTCAACTGGGCTTTCTGTATTTTTTTTTTTTCAGAACTAGATTGGCGTTATTGGGCTCGGGGAAGAAGACCATGGAGGTAAAGTGGCATTTCATCACATCGTGTCAAGGGTGCATATTATCAGCGTGACTTACCAGCATGATGTGGACCCTGATGACTTGCCTGAGGCGGTGATTGCCCAGGTTTCTCCACTGTTAAGTTACAATTCCAACTAACATCCCTTCCGTACACTACTCTTTGGAAAGAAGTCACCATGCACAGCTCCACTTCCTTGAGAGTGGAGTGTCTATCTAAGTTATTTGTACTTGTACTGCAAAGGAGATTTGTCTCCTCTCCCCCATTTCTTAATTTATTCACTTATTTTTTACATCAGTATGTACTCATGCATATTTATTTCATACATATAATCAAATACTACTCTCTTTATTTTGTTGTTCAAATTGTTCCAGCTTCGGCCACTGGGAGCCCTTTCAGTTGGCTCCTGTACACCACGACATACCCTCATCAATGCTTTGTTTTGTTTGAGTACTTCCTTACTTTCTGGTGCAGCAAGATACTCCAGGCTTATCTGTATATTTCTTCCTCAGCTCTAAAATCAGCTGTTTCTCCAAGGACTAATGCCCTGGTTCACTTATTGGGGCAGGTATTAGAAATCAAGATGGCAATGGGTGTGCCCTGGGTCTTCTCCCTTTTTCTTCCTCCATGGGCTGCGAGTCTTGTAACCTCCACTCCTCCTCCATCCCTCTCCCATACTGAAATAATTCCTCATGTGTTCAAACCTTAGCTCAGGTACCTCTTTTTCTGGGGAAACTTCTTTGATTTCCCTCCAAGCCTAGATGTTAGTCCCTGTTCTGTGATCCCACAGCCCCTTACTGTACTGCTGTACTAGTGTTCATTTGTTTGACACCTCTAATAGACTGAACCACCTCTGTGCAGGGACAGTGTTTTCAGCTTCTAAGAAAGAAACTGGTCAGAGGCAGGATTGGCATAGCATGGAAAACTCACTAAATATATCTTATTAGTATTAGTATTAATATTAATAAGAATAGCCAACGTGGCAAGGCTCAATACAGTGGAACATGCTGTATACAGTAGAAATATGCCTTTTTTTCTGAGACTTAAATTTTAATTACATGTACTGAGCCAGAGATGTTGAATCTAAAGACTCCTAGGGAGGGGCCCTGTTGGATCATTGAACCTACATGAACACTTGGCTGGGCTAGAGAACCAAGTTGTTTGGTCAAACACCAGTCTAGAGGTCCCTGTGAAGATATTTTCTAGATGTGACTAACACTTAAATCTGTGGATGTTGAATAAAGCAGACTGCATTCCATAATGTGGGTGGGCCTCCTCTAATCAGTTGAAGGCCTTGAGGAAAAAAACCTGTGAGGTCCCCAAAGGAAGAGGGAATTCTGCCTCCATATGGCCTTCAGACTCAAGCTGCAGCGTTGACTCTTTCTTGAGCCTCCAGCCCGCTGTACTTTTGAACTTGCCAGCCTCCACAATTGGAGAGCCAGTTCCTTAAAGTAAATTTATCTCTCTGTTTCTCTCTCTTATTACACACATGCATATACATGCACATACACAACCTGTTGGTTTTGTTTATGTTTTCTGGAGAACCCAGACTAATACAGGGAGTGACCCCGGACCTTAGCCTTCCAGCCTGCAACTCAACGGTTCAGGGGAATCATGCTTCCTGACATGTGATCATCTCAACCAGGAAGAAGACCCTGTATTAATAAATGTATTAACTAAATATCTTGCCTGTAAATTATTTTATGCTCTCCTTTGACCTTTTTGAGAATAATGAACACTATCATCCCTGGACTTGCTTTTCAGAAATGCCCAAGCTTGGAACTGACAGATGTATTCAACATAACAACCAAGGTCTGCATTCACCAGAGTGATCTCATGGGTGGGAAGCTGGGCACAATACACTCTTGGGACTGTACAAATCTCAGGCTAGTCACAGTACGTGTCACTGCTCCATCCTTTGAAAATATTTTTGGTAGATAAAAGCTTGAAAAAAATGAACATTATAGGTGGTCCTAAGATGGGGGGAAATTAACCAAGAATAAAAACCTGAATGGTGTGCGTGGAATAGTAAAGCCAGTGGTAAGGAAAGGGAGGTTGCAGACCCTACAGGTTCCCAAAGGCAATGTGAAAGTCCTTAAGCTCTTTCCCAAGTTTCAACAGCCTAATACACAACATGGTCTAATTTCAACATTGGCTGTCTGCCTTTGGCTGGGTTATATCATTTGGGTGATGTAATGGTGATCCTAGGTGATATTAATACAATCAGGCCTGATTATCACATGTGGTTATGCATGGCTTTGATGAACAAACAATGAAGCAATGAGTAATCATTTAATAAGTCCAGTTGGTTGATAAAATATTTTAAATGGTAGGGCCATTGGGAAAACTTTCCAGCTTTCTCATTTCAAAGAAGGGATGATGATATGACATTGATTGGGGTCTTCGGGTTTCTGATGATGAGGGAGCATGAGGATGCTGGGTCTATGTTAGAACACAATATCAAAATCCCTTTGGTTTCCCCCACTGCCTTCCTTCCATTACTGCCCAGCTTCAAGACCACATTTTTCCAGAGCACCAACCTGTACCAATTTGCTAGCCTCAGCAGTGACCTGGTTGTGCAAGGTCTGGAGCCTGCTGGGGGCGGGGCAATGTCTCCTAGGGTCACAAGCTCTGTCTTGGCATCAAAGACGTGTGCAAGATCTGTTCTGCCTTTTAGGGTAGGTGGTCTGATGCATCATGGGGGCTTCCTGAGCCTCAACTTCCCTTGAAAAAGAAAAGGCTGGATAGAAGTTCTTTCCAAAATCTAAAATCTCCGCAGCTATGCCTTTATGCGGCCTTCTGAGAACCAGCTGTGCATTCCCCACATCAATTTTGCATTTCGAGCATCTCAAAGTAGCAATTGAATGCTCTGGACCATTTGCTAAATAGTATCTTTAAAGAATGAACTGAGAAATGCCTTTGTTCAGTGTAAGGACAAGCCTAGGAACACTGGAGAAAATTCTCAGGGCTAGGAGAGGAATGGCTGCTAGAGATCTGTGATTTTGAAGCCATTTTCCAGCCTAAAATCTCAGGCTCTTATTGTATTCAGAAGAAAAAAATAGTAATTCACACACACACACAAATTCTGTAGCACTGAAAGAATTGCTTCCAATTACAATCTTCTCAAGTTAATGTTCATAGGAGTCATTGAAATAGAAGGACCAAACTTCAAAAGAGTAATTTCAATTTAAGCAAACTTTAAGCAACCTAATTTATCCCACTGCCAGTTTAGTATCTAGAAAAATCATAATTTTCAAAAAAAGGGGGAGGGACAGAGAGGAAGAAGAAAAAAGAAAAAAGAAATAAAAGGTAGTGTGTTTCCTGCATATTAGATTTTTAATGTCAGGAAGAACAAGGACTTTATAATAATAGCCTGCCTCTGTCTATGTTTTTATCTACATTTCTAAGTACAAAGATAATAATTTTGTTATGACAGAAATATGTCCTCTTAAGAAGTTCATCCAAGGGCAAACAAATGAGAACTATAGAGGCACATGAAATATTTGAAAGCCAATAAACCAACAGAAACAAAAAATGCTAAAAATTAGGTCAGAATGACTAAAACTACAATACAATGAAATAACCCCAATATAACAATAAGGTAGACACTCTATCAAAACCATTGTTTCAATTTTTTTTTTTGTGTGGGATGGAATGGCGTGCAGCTTACCCACATGGCTTTGGGATGCCCTAGTAACATAGAGTCTCATTTTCAACCCTGTTGTCTAACTCATTCTCTCCTTGCTAAACATGTATTTTTCTTGCTGGAGCACCTCCTGGATCAACAGTTATCAGGCCACATTGCAACTCAACTTGCCCTTGAGTGAACCTTCAGAATGTGTCAACTGAGTAACAACCTCACTCTTAGAATGACAAATTTCACATTTGTAATGTTAACTAGGCAACATAGCAAGGGACCTTACACGCTAAATACAGTGGAAATGTGTGTTATTTCTGAGACTTGAATTTTAATTACATGTACTGCGCCAGAGATGTTGAGTCTGAAGACACCTAGGGAGGGGCCCTGTTGGATGGTTGAGCCTATGTGAACATTTAACTGGGCTGGGGAACCCAGTTTTTTGGTCAAACACCAGTCTAGATGTTGCTGTGAAGCTATTTTTTTGGATGTGACTAAAACTTAAATCTGTGGATGTTGAGGAAAGCAGATTGATTTCCAAAATGTAGGTGGGCCTCATCTAATCAGTTGAAGGCCTTGAGGAAAAAAACCCCTGAGGTCCCCAAAGGAAGAGAGAATTCTGCCTCCAGATGGCCTTCAGACTCAAGCTGCAACATCGACTCTTTCTTGAGCTTCCAGCCCGCTGGACTTTTGAATTTGCCAGCCTCCACAATTGGTGAGCCAGTTCCTTAAAGTAAATTTCTCTCTGTTTCTGTCTCTGTCTCTCTCTCTCATTACACACACACATATACATGCACATACACACCCTGTTGGTTTTGTTACTGTTTTCTGGAGAACCAGACTAATATAGGGAGTGACCTCAGACCTCACCCCTTCCAGCCTGCAACTCAAGGTTCAGGAGAGACATGCTTCCTGACATGTGATCATCTCAACCAGGCAGAAGACCCTAGTGATAGTGAGTTCACTACCTCAGAGGGCAGCAGGAGCTGTCAGAAAGTCTCCTCTTAGACTTGGCTGGAATACACTTCTCTGCATTTTAGACTCTGGTTCTGGCAGACATGTGCTGGGCACATCCTCTGGGCCAAGTCAATCTGCTTCCACCTGGTCAGGTTGGGACATGTGCCTGGCCAAAGGTAGCATTGCTCTTCTATCTTCAAACCTCTAGCTGCTATTTCTTGAATTATCAATGCAAGTCATAACACGCAATTAATTCGTCTCCAGAAAGGCAGCATGTACTCAGTGCGCACACCCAACCAAAAAATTATATTAGAGCGAAAGAAAATAGATGCTTAAACAAATGTATAGGAAAATTAGAGAACTTCCCAAATGACACCCTGGACCATGTTGCCAAGATGGGTTCTGAGTCAAGGAAAAGTCAATTGAAATGAATTTTTGGCAGAGATGCTTGAATCAGTGTTTGTTATGTTTATCAAGCACAGGAAGGGAGGTTAATAGAATGGATCTAGACACCTCTGATTGGATTCAGCAGTGTGTTCATGAGGTTACATGGTGTCTGGCATTTTGTGATATAAATGTTTGTCTTCCCAGTGCTGCAGTCCCTTGAAGGAAGAGGCGATGTCCTGTGGTCTTTTTATCCATTACTGTACTAAGCTAGGCTCTTGCACATGCTAAGAAGTGTGGAAGGAGGGAAAAAAGGAAGGAGAAGCAGGAGAACATATAGAAGGAAAATTGGGGGACAATCAGCAAAGAGAAATCGGGGGACATGCTCTTCCCCTACTGTTTCCTGTATTCCTGGCTGTACATTCCTCAGAGCCAGCTGAATGGAGGAGGTGGGGCAGGGCTGTGTCCTTGCCCATCATTGCCTTTCTTCTAGGGCATAAAGTAATGAGAATAATAAGAACTGACCATTTTCCAGAAATTATTATGTTAGATACAGTGGATCCTCATTATTCACGGATTCTGTATTTGCAAGTTCACCTACTTGCTAAAATTTATGTCTATCCCCAGATCAATATTCACGGCGTTTTCACAGACATTTGTGGACATGTGCAGAGAGTTGCCTGACACGTATTTTTCCAGCTGAAGCCAAAGAAGGCCTCTGCCTTCTTGTTTCATCTCCCATATTGTAAACAAGTGCCCTTTTCTAGATCTACTGAGTGTCACGATTTTCATTTTTGTGGAGTTTTTTTTTTCAGTGACTTTGCTGTTTAAAACACCCCCCAAATTGAGTGGTGAAATGCTGTCTCCTATTCCTAAGCACAGGGAGGCTCTGATGTGCCTTAGAGAAGCTTCCTTGAGACATGAGTTGTAGTTCTGTTGGCTAGGGGTTCAATGTTAATCAATCAACCATATATTTGCTTGGTGCAAAAGTAATCACGGTTTTTGCCATTGAAAGTAATGGCAAAAACAGCAATTACTTTTGCACCAATACTAAGCAAGGTGTCTTTTTTTTTTTTTTTTTTTCTGAGACAAAGTCTCGCTCTGTCTCCCAGGCTGGAGTACAGTGGTGCGATCTCGGCTCACTGCAAGCTCCGCCTCATGGGTTCATGCCATTCTCCTGCCTCAGCCTCCCGAGTAGCTGGGACTACAGGCACCCGCCACTGTGCCAGGCTAATTTTTTGTATTTTTTAGTAGAGACGGGGTTTCACAGTGTTAGCCAGGATGGTTTCGATCTCCTGACCTCGTGATCCACCCGCCTCAGCCTCCCAAAGTGCTGGGACTACATGCATGAGCCACTGCGCCCGGCTGCAAGGTGTCTTTAAACAGAAACACACATCAAAGAAAATTATATTTGGTCAGTTGATGAAAATGTGACCAGAAGCTCACAGGAACCTAACCTTGTCTTTTTCCCAGGAGCAATGCTTCAGTATTCCTTAATTCAGTGTTCATGATGACTTTATAGAACATCACCACTTGAATAATGAGAATTATTATTTCTTTTGATCATTGAGTTTTCTGGCACTCCAACCCTAGCTTTGGTGTTGGCAGCTTAAAAAGAAACTGTTCAGTATTCACTAATTCGCTCTTCATGGTAACTTTGTGGAGCATAACTACTGCAAATGAGAACTGATTGTACTGGACACGTTATTTTGTATAATTCTTATTGGTCACCCAATAAGGTATGGACTACTGTTACTAAGACACGCAGATTAAGGAATGATGTTTAATGGGGTTAAATGAATTGCCCAAGTTAATAACAGAGCCAGTAACTGTTTGGGACAAGAATTCAAATCCAGGAAGACTCCAGAGCCCACACGTGTGCCCTCTGAGCTATACTGCCTGCCATCTGCCTCCCCCTTCCTCCTGGAGTGGTGTTAGTGGTGTAAGCGAACAAAGGCACAAACCTTAGACCGGGGCTTCTTAAATTCTTTGTACCACAGACTACTTGGCAGACTAGTGAAATCTATAAATAGACTATAGTATTTGTAAACTCCTAACATCAAGCACATGGGATTACAAAAGAAATCAATTGCATTGAAATACATTCATCAAATTATCCAAAAGTTTTGTGGCACAATGATATATGTGCTCCTCTCCTCACAACACTCCAGCCTCTGGTAACCATCATTCTACTCTTCATCTATGAGCTGAATTCCACACAGAAGTATGAGGTCACATTGTATTTGTCTTTCCATGTGTGGCTTATTTCATTTAGTATGTTGTCCTCCACGTTCATCTACATTGTCACAAATGACAGAATGTCCTTCCTTTTAAAGACTGAATAGTACCTCATCATGCATATATAATATACTACATTTTCTTTATCCATTAATCCATTGATGGATCCTTAGGTTGATTCCATAATTTGGTTATGGTGAACCATAACACAATGAAAGTGAGAGTGCAGATAGCTCTTCAACATACTGGTTTCAAATCCTTAGGCTACATATTCAGAAGTGAGATTGCTGGTAATTCTATTTTTAACTTTTTCAGTTTTCCATAATGGCTGTTTTCCATAGTGGCTGTACTAATTCACACTCCCATCAACAGTGCACAAGGGTTCCTTTTTCTCTACATCCTCACCAACACTTATGTTTCATTTTTTTGATAATTGCCACTTTGACAGGTGTGATGTGATATTTCACTGTGGTTTTAATTTGCATTTCCCTAATGATTAGTGATGTGGAACATTTTTTAAAACATATCTCTTGGGCATTTGTATGTCTTTTTTGGAGAAATGTCTATTCAAGTTCTTTGTCCATTTCTAATTTATTTGTTTTCTTGCTATTGAGTTCTTTTGGGTTCCTTATATAATTTGGATATTCACCCCTTATCAGATGTATGGCTTATAAATATTTTCTCCCAATCTGTAGACTGTGTCCTCACTTTATTGTTTCCTTTGCGGTGCAGAAAATTTTTAGTTTGTTGTAATCCCGTTTATTTATTTTTGCTTTTGGTACTGGAGCATTTGGAGTCAAATTCAAAACATCATTGCCCAGAGCAATGTAGCTTTCCCCTATGTCTTCTTCTTATAGTTTTACAGTTTCAGGTCTTATGTTTAAATCTTTAATCCATTTTGAGTTTATTTTTGTATAAGGTGTGAGATGAGGGTCCAATTTCATTCTTCTGCATGTAGATATCCAGTTTTCCCAACACCCTTTATTGAAGAGACTGACCTTTCCCCCATAGTGTGTTCTTGGCACCTTTGTTGAAAATCAATTGACTGAAAATGCATAGGTTCATTTCTGAGCTCTCTATTCTGTTCCATAAGTCCATGTGTCTATTTTTATGCCAGTATCACACTGTTCTAATATCTATAGCTTTATAAGATAGTTAGAAATCAAGTAGTGTGATGCTTCCAGTTTTGTTCTTGCATTTTTTTTTTTTTTTTGATATAGAGTCTTGCTCTGTCGCCCAGGCTAGAGTGCAGCAGTACAATATCGGCTCACTGCAAACTCCGCCTCCTGGGTTCAAGTGATTTTCCTGTCTCAGCCTCTCAAGTAACTGGGATTACAGGGGCACACCACACCGCACCTGGCTAACTTTTGTATTTTTAGTAGAGACAGGGTTTCACCATGTTGGCCAGGCTGGTCTCGAACTCCTGACCTGAAGTGATGCACCCGCCTCGGCCTCCCAAAGTGCTGGGATTACAGGCATGAGCCACTGTACCCAGCTAGCCACACTTGGCCATTCAAGCTTTGTTCTTTTTGTTCAAGATTATCTTGACTTCCAGGATTTTTTGTGATTCTATATTAATTTTAGGATTGTTTTTCTATTTCTGTGAAAAGTGTTACTGAAATTTTGATAAGGATTGCATTGAATCTGTAGATTGCTTTGGGTAGTATGGATATTTTAACAATATTAATTCTTCTTATCCATGAATGCAGAATACCTTTCCATTTACTTGTGCCTTTTATAATTTTTTTCAATGATCTTTATAGTTTTCAACGTACAGATCTTTCACCTCTTTGTTTAAATTTATTCCTATGCATTTTATTTTGTTTTAGTTAGCGTAAATGGAATTTTTTCTTAATTTCTTTTTCAGATAGTTCATTGTTAGTATATAGAAATGCTACTGATTTTTGTGTATTAGTTTTGTAATCTGTAACTTTACCATATGCATTTATTACTTCTAACAGTTTTTGGGTGGAGTGGTCAAAGTTATACATACATACAAGATCATGTCATCTGCAAACAGGGACAATTTAACTTCTTCTTTTCCTATCTGGATGACCTTTATTTTTTTCTTTTGTCTAATTGCTCTGGCTAGTAGTACTTCCACTAAAATGTTGAACAGAAGCGGTTAGAGTGGGCATTCTTATCTTGTTCCTGATCTCAGAGGAAAAGCTTTTAGTATAGTGTTAGCTGTGGGTTTTTCATATACGGCCTCTATTGTGCTAAAGTAGATTATTTCTTCTACATCTAATTTGTAGAGAGTTTCATTATAAAAAATGTTAAATTTGTCAAATGCTTTCTCTGCATCTAATGAGATGATCATATGGCGTTTGTCCTTCATTCTGTCACTGTGGTGCATCACATTTATGGATTTGTGTATGTGGAACCATCCTTGCATCGCAGGAATAAATCCCACTTGATTACATGAGTGATTCTTTCACTGTGCTGTTGAATTGTTTGCTGGTATTTTATTGAGGATTTTTTCATCTGTATTCATCAGGAATATTGGTCTATAATTTTCTTTTCTTGTAATATCCTTGTCTGGCTTTGGTATCAGGGTAAGGCTGGCCTTAAAAAATGAGTTCACCTCTTATCAGATGTATGGCTTTCCTCATAATTTTTGAAAGGTTTAAGAAAGATTGGTATTATTTTTAAAAATATTTGACAGAATTCAGCAGTAGCAGTGAAGCTCTGGGCTCTTTTTTTTTTTTTGATGGGAAAGTTTTTATTACTAACTCAGTCTCTTTACTCGTTACTGGTCAGTTCAGATTTTGTTTCTTCACAATTCCGTCTTGGTAATTGTATAGTTCCAGGAATGTATCAGTTTCTTCTGGGTTATTCAAGTTGTTGGCATATAATGATTCATAGTAATCTCTTAGAATCCTTTGTGTTTCTGCGGTATCAGTTGTAATGTCTCCTCTCTGAGTTCTGATTTTATTTGAGTCTTCTCTCTTTTCTTCTTAGCCTAGCTAAGGGCTTTTTGCTTTTGCTTATCTTTTCAAAAAACAGCTCTGTAGTTTCATTGTTTTTTTTTTCTATTGTTTTTCTAGTCTCTGTTTCATTTATTTCTGCTTTGATTTTTGTTATTTCCTTCCTTCTCCTAACTTTGTACTTTGTTCTTCTTTTTCTAGTTCCTTGAGGTATAACATTAGGTTGTTTATTTGAGATCTTTCTTCTTTTTTGACATAAGTGCTTATTGCTAAAAATTTCTCCTTAGAATTCCTGTTGATGCATCCTGTAAGTTTTTGCATCCTGTAGGTTGTTTTTGCTATTTTAATTTGTCTCAAAAATTTTAAAAATTTCCCTTTTGATTTCTTCTTTGACTCATTGGTTGTTCACGAGCATGTTGTTTAATTTTTACTCCTTTGTAAATTTTCCAAGATTTCTCCTGTTATTGATTTCTAGTTTGATACTACTGTGATCAGAAAAGATATCTGATACAATTTGAATCCTCTTAAATTTATTCAGATTTGTTTTGTGGTCTAACATATGCCTATCCTGGAGGATGTTTCATGTGTGCTTGAGAAGAATGAGTATTCCGATGCTGTTAGATGAAATGTTCTGTACGTGTCTTTTAGTTCTATTTGATGTTTTATAGATCAAGGCCAATATTGTCCTATTAATTTTCTGTCTAGATGATATATCCATTGTTGGTAGTGGGGTATTAGAGTCCCATACTATTATAATATTGAGTCTATCTCTTCCTTCAGATCCTTTAATATTTGCTTTGTATATTTAGGTGCTTGTAGGGCAAAGAAAGAGAGATCAGACTGTTACTGTGTCTATGTAGAAAGGGAAGACATAAGAAATTCCATTTTGACCTGTACCTTGAACAATTGCTTTGCTGAGATGCTGTTAATTTGTAACTTTGCCCCAGCCACTTTGCTCCAACTTTGAGCTCACAAAAACATGTGTTGTATGAAATCAAGGTTTAAGGGATCTAGGGCTGTGCAGGACATGCCTTGTTAACAAAATGTTTACAAGCAGTATGCTTGGTAAAAGTCATCACCATTCTCTAGTCTCGATAAACCAGGGGCACAATGCACTGCGGAAAGCCGCAGGGACCTCTGTCCTGGAAAGCTGGGTATTTTCCAAGGTTTCTCCCCATGTGATAGTTTGAAATATGGCCTCGTGGGATGAGAAAGACCTGAATGTCCCCCAGCCCAACACCCATACAGGGTCTGTGCTGAGGTGGATTAGTAAAAGAGGAAAGCCTCTTGCAGTTGAGATAGAGGAAGGCCACTGTCTCCTGCCTGCCCCTGGGAACTAAATGTCTCAGTATAAAACCCAATTGTACATTTGTTCAATTCTGAGATAGGAGAAAAACCACCCTATGGCGGGAGGCGAGACATGTTGGCAGCAATGCTGCCTTGTTATTCTTTACTCCACTGAGATGTTTGGGCAGAGAGAAATATAAATCTGGCCTATGTGCACATCCAGGCATAGTGCCTCCCCTTAAACTTAATTATGACACAGATTCTTTTGCTCACATGTTTTCTTGCTGACCTTCTTCCTATTATCACCCTGCTCTCCTACCGCATTCTTCTTGCTGAGATAGTGAAAATAATAATCAATAAAAACTGAGGGAACTCAGAGACCGGTGCCCGTGCAGGTCCTTGGTATGCTAAGTGCCAGTCCCCTGGGCCCACTTTTCTTTCTCTATACTTTGTCTCTGTGTCTTATTTCTTTTCTCAGTCTCTCATCCCACCTGATGAGATATTCCCACAGGTGTGGAGGGGCAGGCCACCCCTTCAGTGCTCCAATGTTGGGTGTACAGCAGGTCCTTGAATAGTGATGTTGCATTCAAAGTCATTTCATGATAACATTGATAAGAAAAATATCAATTTTGGGCTAGGGCCACTGTCTGCATAGAGTTTGCATGTTGTCTCCATGTCTACGTGGATTTTCTTCAAGTGCTCTCACTTCCTCCCACATCCTGAGATGAGCACATTAGGTTAACTGGCATGTCTAAACTGTCTTAGTGTGAGTGAGTCTGGGTGTGTGTGTGCGTGAGTATGCCTTGCAATGTGATGGAGTTCTGTTCACAGTTGGTTCCCACCTTGTGCCCTGGGCTGCTGGGATAGGCTCTGGCCATTTGTGACCCTTAACTGGAATAAACACATTGGAAAATGAATAAATAAATACATATAAATTATTGTAAAATAAATATTCGCAAAGCATACAATAATTATACAAATGCAGAGGAATAAACAATGCAGTGTGAAAGCACTCTGCAATCCTGTCATATCTGTAATTATTTTTGAACTGCATGTTGGTTGGAGGCATTCCTTGTAATTTTTGCTTTGTAAACAATTATTCTTTGATTTAATCCACCACCGTGATGACTAACATCCTACACTGATTCACAAAAAATTTGATAAATAATTATCTTACTTGTTGTTATTACTCTTTCATAAATGTATAGTAGCTCACATTTATTTCAGTATTTAATATTAGAAGTGTTTGGGGTCTTTGTTTAGAAGTTTGGTGATGTTTTTGTGACCAGAAATATGCCATAGGAACTTAACTCTTGCTTATATGAATTAGCCTATGGTAAAATGGATTTGGTTATACATATTCACTTAAAACCTCAGTTTCCAAGAACCTACTGATGACATCAAGGGAAAACTTACTGTATATGTGTTAATAATTGTTATATCCTTTTGATGAATTGACTCCTTTATCATTATATAATGCCCTTCTCTGTCTCTTTTTATAGTTTTTGACATAAAGTCTATTTTGACTGATATAAATATAGCTACTCCTGTTCTCCTTTTCTTTCCATCTCTTTCCATCCCTTCACGTTCAGTCTATATTTAGGTGCTCTAACATTGGAGCACCTAAATATACAAAGCAAATATTCAAGGATCTAAAGGAAGAGATAGACTGCAATGTTATAATAGTAGGGGACTCTAACACCTTTCAACAAGGGACATATCACCTCAAAAGTGAGATGAGTCTCTTATAGGCAGCATAAAGTTGAGTCTTTTTAATTTGTTTTTAAAATTCAACCAGCCACTCTGTCTTTTTATTGGAGATTTTAATCTATTTACATTCAAAGTAATTATTGATAGGTAAGGACTTGTTACTGTCATTTGTAATTTGTTTTCTGGTTATTTTGTAGATACTTTGCTTCATTTTTTCTCTCCTGCTGTCTTCCCTTGTGGTTTCATGGTTTTCCACAGTGATATGCTTTGAATCTTTCAATTTATGTTTTGTGCATCTACTACAAATCTTTGCTTTGTGAGACTTACATAAAACATCTTATAACCAGGTATTTCAAGCTGATAACAACATAACTTTGATTACCTACAACAACTCTCTACTTTTAGTGTCCCCCTTAAATGCTTTTGACATCAAAACTTTCATCATTTTGTAATCTGTATCTTGACAATTTGTTTTATCCACAATTGCTTTAATAATTTTTCTTTTAAGCCTCGTACTAGAGATAAAATTGCTTTACATGTCACCATTGCAGTCCTAATGTATTTTGAATATGACTTTATATTACTTATACCATCAAGTTTTATATTTTTGTATGTTTTATGTTACTAATTTTAATTTCAATTTATTTCAAGTTGAAGAACTCCCTTTAGCAATTCTTGTAAGGCAGGCCTAGTAGTGATAAATCTCTTGGCTTTTGTTTGTCTGGGGAAGGACAGTTTTGTCAGGTAAAGTATTCTTGGTTGATAATTTTATTCCCTCAGCACTTTGAGTATAACATCCCACTCTCTCTTGGCCAGAAGGGGTTCTGCTGAGCAATCTGCTGATAGTCATATTGGGATTCACTTGTAGGTGATAAAGACTGATTTTTTTTTAAAGCATCACAGTTTTTGTAGACTGCTGACAAATATGAAATTAACACAAATCTCACAGAGTAACATAGATCCTTTACGTATCTGAACTCTGACAAGTGAAGGCTGTTCAGTAAACTGCACAATTCTGGTGTTCAGCTGAATGTTATTATGCAGCAAAGCTGAGTAGGGTGGTTGGGAGGTACATTATAACCCCCTGAGATAGAGCTGGGGAATGAGTTGTAATTTATTTGCCCTGATTCAAAAAGGCAGAAAACAATCTTAGATTGGGATAAGCAAATTAAAAGAAAATTCTGGTTCAGAGGAGCCCTGTGTGATTACATGTCATCCTTCTAGTTGATGTGGGAACAGTCGCAAAGTTAATGGAATTATGAGGACTGCACTTGAATCAACTTGAGTGTGAAATAAATTGATAAGAAATATCCAAGAAAATTAAATACCACAAGTATCTTCAAACACAGAGTTGCCAGTGGCACCTAGCATGGAATTCTGCAGTGTTTTGCAAAATACATTTGAAAAATAGAAGGAAAAAAGCCTATATTCATTTTCTGCTTAAATTACTTTATTTATTTAAATCATTAAATTGAATAGCTCTGGTCTGCTTTTTTTCGATAGATAGGAAATTGCAGGAATTTTGGGGGAACATACAGAAAGAGATCCACATTTCTCTGATATTTAGCAACATTCAAAACTATGTTGAAGTTAAAACAAACAAACTTTGCCTTTTAGAGTATTAACTTTATGTAATCTGTGTAGGTGAGTGATATGATATCCAAAAAATGAGGTTTACCCTTTATCTCCAGAAAAAAGGAAAAGGGAACACCAGGAATCAGTCTGATAACTGAATGAAGTCCATCTTGTCCACCAAAAACTTGGAACAGAAGTCAGTCAGGCAGCATCCAGGAATCTGGAGTCTCAGATTGGAGACTACCAAGAACAGTCATGACAGAAGGGGTCCTGAGGGGCTGGGTGACAGCCAACAGAAGTTGAAGAAGCAAGTGCCATTTTAGGAAACACAAACAGGAATGAGCAAAGATGGCACTGTCAGATACTCCTCCAGGGCAGGCTGTACTTGGAAACTCTTCCTAGAGCAAGTGCTTCTGTTTAATGAAGTATAACATTAAGCCTGAACAAGGGTAGCAGTAGAAGAAAGCAGTAGAGATGAGTAAAACACTTCAGCATAAAGCTATGAAAGAACTTTCTGTAGTGCAGAAAAAGGAGACTGTATAGCAGTCTTCGTAAACAAATGGCTTTACCATCAAGGACAAAAAGAAGAGAAAAGGATGAAAGAATGAACACCTTTAGACCCCTGACCAGAGAGGGACCTACTTCTGGCTAGGAAATTATGTTCTCTTTCATTCAGAGCATACAGTCCTAACACAGAGGCAAATAACAGGGAAAAGCAAATGATGGTGCATCATAAGCAAGTATCTGAAACAGTATTTTAGCTTCAGAAAACCTGGCTCCTGACAGCATGTTTCTGCCTTCCCTGAATTCAATACCAGCAATCATGGTGTCCTCCATTGGTGTTGACTAAATAGCTATCATAATGGGATCTTTGGAGGCTGAAACTCTTTTTAGAAGAATCTAATAGATGAGTGAGAGAAGACAAGGAACGAGAGAAGAAAGGTACATGCTGAATATGTTCCAGTGCAAAGGCATCTGGGACAACAGAGCCTCCAAGGAATCCGTTCCTAGGACTCTAGAATGTGGAATACAGAGAAGATAAATCTTAATCATTTTTAATTACTAACCTTCATTTTTCCTTAAATGCATTCATCTATTTAGCCCTAGTCTCATAATGTTCCTCTATGCCACCCATCACCAACCTGAATTCCATATAAAGCAACATGTAAAAAAGCTGACTATGGCACAATGCAGATCCAATAGGACTCCATGTACATATTCCTGGGAAATCCATGAATTTTTAATGACCAATTCTAAGCATTTTTACACTTTTATTTTTATGATTATCTTAAGGCTGTTAGTAAAAGTATATTGAGATCATTGCAATGACTGCCCATTAACCAAAAATTTCAACATGCAGCATTACATCTGAGGTTACAATCCTGTGGGTTCCAAGCTGTGCTGTGACTTTTATGGTTGGTAGCTAAAGAGCAAAGGAAGCAAAGGAAACTTAATATACAAGTGAATAGTCACAGGAGGAAGGTCCAATGACAGTTATGGTAGCTCCCCACTTCGTTCGGCATAAAAGCAAAGTCCTTACCAGGCCTCTACTCCTCATGCTTTGTACCCAGCTCTCATCTCTTCTTCCACTCCCTCATTCTGCTGCAGCCATGCTGGCTTCTGCACCCACACTAGGCCCTTCTCCGCAGGAGGAACTTGGCCCTGGGTGTTCCCTCTGCTTACAACTTGCACTTGCTCCCCTCAGAGAGCTCCAGGGCTCACTCTCCTTCTTCAAGGCTTTGCTCAAGTACCACTTTCCCTCCTAATTAAAACTGCATCCTCATTCACTCAGCACTCCAAATCACCTTTCCCTGCTCAATGTTTTCCTTTTCCATATCACTTACCTTCTAGCTATTATATATTAATAATTTGCTTTTTTATTAGGTTTATTGTTTATTGTCTAGAACAGGGATCAGAAAACTACAGCCTTGAGCCAAATCCAGCCCACCATCTGTTATTTATTAATATTAAGTTTTACGGGAACACAACCAGGTCCATCCGTCTATGGCTGCAGTTATCAATGGCTGTTTCGGATCAACAGCAGCAGAGTTGTGACAAAGAACAAAAAATGGCTACAAAGCTGAAAAGATTTTCTCTATGTTCCTTTACAAGATATTTGCCAACCGCTGGTCTAGAATAAAGGTTCTCCATGGACAGGAAATGGATTTGTTCATTGATGTATCCCATCAATGAACTTAATATACAAGTGAATAGCCACAGGAGGAAGGTCCAATGACAGTTATGGTAGCTCCCCACTTCATTCAGCATAAAAGCAAAGTCCTTACCAGGCCTCTACTCCTCATGCTTTGTACCCAGCTCTCATCTCTTCTTCCACTCCCTCATTCTGCTGCAGCCATGCTGGCTTCTGCAACATAGTAAGTGCTAAATAAATATTTGCACAAGGAATGAATGGATGAATGGTGCCTTCAAGGTAAAAGTTATTTTGTTTGTGTAGCCTGTGAAAAGTAGGGGAAACTGAGGCACACACCATATACTTTAGTATCACACATGGAATACAGAAACCTCTGTGTAGTGGCAGTGAGAATTCTATTGACTGAGAAAACATTGGGTGTTTATGAATTTTTTTCCCCGTTAAAAGGGGTCTGCACAGTTTGAGAAGCATAGGGATAAGGAGTTTGATCTGTGGATCAGGTAACCAAAGATTGCTCTTGGTGGCTATGCAATTGGTGAAGCAAAATAAATCACTCTATCTCTTGGGTTTTTCAGAAAAATCTTAATTTTAGTCTGTCCATTTGTTCCTGGAGTTGTACTTATAAACTTACGTGGCTTGGTTCATAGAAAATGCCTGGTTCACTGCAAATATGAACTAGCCATTTATTCTCCCATCAGTCATATATAAGGGGAAACAGAGTCTTGAGAAGAGTGATGTCACTGTTCCCAGCCTCCAGCCTGAAGGAGATAAAGGATGGGCTCCAGTAGATTCAAACCTCTCCTATGTCTCAGATTCAAAAGAAGAACCAGGGAAACTCTTTAATTCTGTTTCTTCTGAAGTATCGAGGTAGTGAAGTACCAATGCATCATCCTGGAATATATCAGTAGGAAGGAACCATAAACATTATCTAAGTCAATGTGCTCATCTCCCAGAGAAAAAAAGCATGGTTCAAAAATTTGCCCAAAATTAAGAGATTGGGGTGGCAGCAGAGTCAGGATGCGTGATCCAGTCTTCTGTCTCTGTGGCCAGAGTCCTGCCTCTAATGCTTCGTAGTCTTTCCACACAAACCATCCAACTTGATTTAGTGACCTCTGTCTCAATCTCACTTTGTCTGGCTCTGGGCTTTAGAGATGGCAAGAGCCGTTCCTGTAACTCTCACTTCAAGAATCAGGTTAGGGCGCCTCTTCCTGCCCCTAATTTTGTGGCATTTAGCAACAACATAGATATGCATCCAAATTAGCATATGCATAGAGACAAATGTTTGTATCACCAAACAGTCATCCCCCACAGAAATCCCATTGGCTCCACACATCACCACTGATCAATATTATCTATTTGTCATTATCAACGTTATCTATTTGTCGTCAGCAGCAGCAGCAGCCTCCATTGCTTTAGTGGAGGTTTATTTTCATTTCACCTGGTGAATTAACAAGAATTAGATCTGCAGGAGGCAGGGAAACAATCCACCAAGTATATGATGATCAGGAAATAAGGAAAGTCAGGTTGTAAGGTGACTCAACGTCATATGTACCACATCGAACAAGTCACTCATATGAAGCTGAGCTCAAGAAAATGGTTTCACCGTAAGATTTAGATTAAAATTAAGGAAAAAATAATTGCTTCCTTATTATTAGTCCTGGGTAGTTTTAGAACATTCTGATAACCTAAATTTTCATTCCCAGAGATCTGCAAAATGTCATCTAGGGTTTAGGTTAGGTTTTTTCAGGAGACTGAAGTGGTTGACCTCTTGTGGTTCCAATCCAGGCTTGAAGGAATCAACGAGTAATAAAAATTTGTCTTTAAAATCTTTTTAAAAGACTTTAAAGATTTTCAGCTTTTCTATTTTATTCTTTTAATCAAGAATAAAAAATTCTTTCATTTCCTGCTTAAGATTCTCCCCTTAAAATTCTGTTAAATAAATGCCTTTTATCTAAAGATTATTGCTTCTATGATTAATGAATTTCCATCTTAATGCATATTGACTGAGTTGCAAATTTGCAAGTGAGAGGATGATTCAGAACCTCTAAGGTAGAAAAGCCATTTGAAAATAAAGAAGAGAGGAAAATTACAGTGACTCATGTACTGGGGGCATGATACAGGTGCATTTATCAGAAAATTACCTGATTTCTAACCAAGAAAAGCTATTTTCCCTTCAGAAATAAATGACAGCTCTTGGAATTTTGATAAGTATGGTTAGAAAAGCAGTTTGCCTTTATGAAGAGCTGTAATTTATTATCTTTCCTTTTCTGTAATTTCTTTCTGTACAAGTTTTTCTTTTCAAAATTAGTTTTTAATTTGACTCAATACAGAGTCTATTTTCCTTATTAAAAATAGACCATCAGCATATATTTTGTTCCACACTTCCAATCCCACTCCCCTTATCACCCCCAATTATAACCAAAATTATGATAATTGAGTGTCATTAACTACCTTTAAAAATACTTTTATATCTATATGGATATAAACATAGAAAATATATTACACTATTCTGTGTGTTAATATTGTTTCCTTCTGCAGTTTGCCTTTTAACTGAGAAATATTTCTGAGATATATCCATTTTGAAATGCAGACAGAAAATAGATAAAATGGATGAAAGGACAGCTCTCATTCATTCCTTCCTTCTGAATGTGTTTTGTTTTCCATTGTAATCATTTAGTATATTTTATTTATACATCCTTCTATTGACAGACATTAGATTGTTTCTAATTTTTTGCTGTTATAATGATGTAGAGAACATTCCCATTTGTCGTATCCACGTGGATCTATGTTTGCATTTCTCTGGGACAGATATTTTAAAACTCACTTTCTAAGGCATAGGGGAAGCTTGGTGACAGTGTTATTAGATTCTATCAAATTGCCCTTCCTAGTGGCTGCAGTCATTTATTCTCCCATCAGTCATATATAAGTATTGCCTTTCTTAACATTGCCAGCTGTCCATATTATCACACTGCTAAATTCTTGGACAATCTGATCAATGAAAAATTATACTTCATTAGTGCTTTAATGTGCATTCTCCTAATTAGGGGTAAGGCTGAGCATCATTTAATTGACCATTCTGATTTTCCTTTTTTTGTGAACCGAATGCTTGCATTTCTTATTTTACCATTTCTTGGTTTGTCGTTTGACTATCATGTGTAGGAGTTCATTCCGTATTCCTCCATGACAACTTCCCTTAGCCTGGAACTGGTTTCATGCTGTCCTTTGTAATCCATAAGGTTTAAATGCTAATGTAGTTGGATTTAACAATATTTTCCTGTTATGGATTTTGCCCTTTTGTGTGTGTCTGTTTAAGAAGCTGTCCCTCCTGTAAGCTTGTGCAAATATACTGCCACATTTTTTTCTAATAAAGTTTCATTTTTTAATGTTTGGATTTTAACTTATTGGTTAAATTGGCTGGTTGTAGAAGCCTAACTTTGTTTTGTATGGCTCACCCATGGGGCAATCTCATTTACTGAATAATCTGTTTTTTCCTGTTGGAAAAACCATCAATTACCTGTCATATTATTGTCTCTGATAGTGAAACATAAAGAGTCCTCTGCTCTTCCACTGACTATGGGAGTGATCTGTAAAAGTGACATAACACCTGCAGGCCTCAGGTCCTGATATGGAGACAGTTGGACTTGATTACTAATTCTCCAGCATCCCTAGAAGCAAAATATTTCATATATTTCTTATCCATTTCCTGCAAATATTTAAAAACATTGTTACCAATGGGAAGAAAAGATTCACACAGATCTTGGTTTCCAACACCACTCTTCAACGAAAAGAACCAGGGCTTCTTGGAGAAATGGCTGATTCTAGGACTGGGGCAGGAAACATACAAAATGTGTCTGGAGTATCTTGTAGCGGCAGGAATTAAGAAAGTGCTCAAAACAAAAAGATCAACAAAAATGTCAGACACAATGATGGAGGTATGTCAAAGGAACATAGTAGCCAACTGAAAGAGTGGCTAGTAGGCACATCCAGAACAATGCAAACAAGAAAATAAATAGTGTCAGGTTGTAGCTCAAAGGATAAAATAAATATCCATGAGTCCATACTGACATAAGTAAATGAATAAATACATGGGGGATGAGAGACAATTCTCCCTTGTAGAAGAAATCCAAATGATTTATGTAGACTCTCCACCTTCAAGGAGGTAGACGCAACCCTCCTTAAGGGTGGGCTATGCATAGCAACTTCCTTCCAACAAGTATGGTATGAAGGAGTGGAGCAAAGAGTAACTTTATAGTGGGGGAATCTGACTAACACAACCTCAGCCAGGTGATCAAGGCCAACGTCAACTGTATAAGTCAAGTGGGTAGCATGTAACCTGGACACAACATCATAAACGTGGCCTTTGAGGTCTTTCTCCCCAAACCCTAACCCTAGTTTAATCATGATAAAAAAAATCAGACAAATTCCTACTGTGAGACAGTCTATAAAATACTTAACCAATATTTCTCAAAACTTTCCAGGTCTTCAAAATCAAAGAAAGTCTGAGACACTGTCACAGCTCAGAGGAATCTAAGGGGACATGATGGCAATAAAGATAATGTGGTGTCCTGGATGGGATCCTACAACAGAAAAAGGACCTTAGGGAAAAACTCAGGACACCTAAATAAAATGTGGCCTTACATTAACAATAGTGCATCTATACTGGTTCCTCAATTATGACAAATGTTTTGTGTGAGGTTAATAATAGGGAAACTGGGTACTGGATATATAGGAACTCTCTGTACTATCTTCACAATTGATCTGTAAATCCAAAAGTATCATAAAATGAAAACACTTACTTAAAAAAAATAGAGAGGTGCAAGACTCTCTGTTCATGCTGAAAGTCCTGTCTACAGCCAGCAGCACAACTCACCCCCAGGCAGAGGCTGGTCCTCCTACAGGGTGAGTCAGTGAGTGCTTTTCAGCTATTGGAGCAAACACACTTGTTTAAATGGATTTGCCACTGTTACTAAGTGCTCATAGTAAGCCTTTGGAAATTTAGGACAGCTTGATGATGAGGGCCAGCAAAGAAGATGATGGATATGCCAAAATAGAAAATCATTCAGTGCATATTTCCCTGCAAGATGGGGGAATAGTGGATTCATCCAAGAAATTTCAAATACACATAGTAGGATGCAGAGTGTAAAATCAATCTATGGTTTTGCCCTCTTCCTTGCTAAAGTCTTTTCTTTCCCACTGAATAAGAAAAAGATTTCTTAAACTGCAGAACCTGTAAATAATCAACTACCAACAGTAATAACGTCTCTACTGCATCAGTAATACCCCTGGTCACTTCTGTTGGCCTCAGAGTTTTCTTGCATGTAAAAGGGGAGTGACACCTACCTTGTATACCTGCTAGTATTATCATGAGAATCCAGAGGGAATACTTAGGCAAAAACACTTGGAGCCTTATAAAGCACAATATAAATGAAAACTTTTCTTAGCATGACTGATAACAATTATGACAATAGCCATTCATTCAATATTGGAAATCCAATTTCCAATATTTGTCATATGAGTAAATGAACAGCAACCACTATTGCCTCACTGGCATTTTCCAGAGCTTATTTAAGTAAGTGTTGCTTGTTGATCAAGAGTTGGTTAAAAAGAAAGATGCCACCTGCATTACTGGCTTTCCTTGATACATTAAAAAGAAGTCCACATGTTAATTTAAGGTCTTGATATGTCATAAAGCATGACAAAATCTCTGAAAGTGTGAACACTTTGAGGTCCACAGATGTTTGCCTTGCCATCCATCTTGGTCCAGCAGGCCAGCCATAGGCATCATCCCTCACACAAAAAAAGAGCTTTTCCAGATGTGTCATGTGGCTGCACGTTACAGGCCAAACTGCCCTGTCAGGACTCTCTTTTCAAGAAGCTGACATCTGTACGGATCAAGTTCTCTTTGTACTCCTGCCTCTTGGCGTAAGACTTGCTCCTTCTCTTTGTCTCTCATAAATTAAAGTATTAGCCCTTGAGGAGAATGTCATTGTCACTGTCAAACAGTGGCAGCCATCCTCCCTTGATGCCAATTACAGCAACAATAGCCAGAGGAAGCAGAGCTCAGCTTGAATAAAGAAATTAGCTTCCCCAACAGCTCCACACCCGCTCTGGCCTGTCCCCTACAAGCCCTGACAAAGGGGTAGCTGTGTGACTTCCTCTGTAAGCTCGACAATGTGCTAACTCCCATTTGTACTATAAAAAATCAAAAACAGCTGGATTTTTACATTTCCATTTGCAGTGAATTCAGCCCTTTCCTAGCTTCTGTTCCATTCCAGTTTTTGGTCACAGAGGGGCACTCAACAATTGCTTTTGTAGTCTAATCCAGAAATCAGTAGCACTGCTTGTACGCAGCAATGGTTTATAAACCATCTCTCTGTTGGATATGATGAGCACCTCCATGTCTTTCTTAATAATTTCCTGTGGCACCTAGTACTGGGCCAAGCACATTAAGATGTCCAATACATACATTGTTGATTTCAGAGAGCCTTGTTAGTCAGCAATGTGTCCCCTGCCATTGCGTAAAATTGGGAACAAAGGTAAACTATTTTCATGGTAATGTCAATATCAAACCTATATTGAAAGCAAAATCAAAGTGAAAGGCAAGGAGTTAAATTCCATCTTTAGTTTCTGAGTTGGACTGCAATCCTAACTAACTACATACATGCTTATTGCACTAGGAATAGGGAGCTGTTTTTCACCAATGAAATGGAACGCAGCCCATGTTTTCTACTCTTTGCGTATATTAATTCTTTGCTTAGTTAGAACCCTTGTGATTCACTGTGAGTATTCATACTCACTTTAAAAATCTTTGAATATCCTCGTTACACAGCGATCAGAGTTTTTGTGATTAAGAGGATGCATTTTGTGATTTTATATAGCCCTTTAAAGGGCTTTTCTAGGAACATTGTCATATTGTGCGAGAGAGTTCAGGGGTCATTCTCATGATAAAAGGACTTTGCTTTAAAGAAGAAATCATATCCTAAATGTTGAAATGTTTTCATTTATTTATTCACTTGTTAACAAATCTTTATCATCTTCTGTGTTTGGTATACTCATGCAGTGAGGGATGCAGAGAGGTAAAGATGCCATCCCTGTTTTCACAAATGTTAAAGTCTAGAAAGGAAATTAATGCAAATAAATACACTGTAAGGTAGCACAAACAGAAAATACGAGGTATGAAAGAGTGTGCTGCAGAGCACAAATGGGCTCGGCCACTTGCATGGCAGAGGCAGCCTTTGACTGACACTGGGGGATAGAGTCTCAGTAGGCAGGAGAGCAGGGCCGGAAGGGATAAGTGGAGGCACTGAAGATGGGAAGCGAAACAGGAAACAAGCAAAGGCACAATACAGGAAAGCTGAACATGTGCTGAAATGACAGCAAACAGTCCGGCAAAGCAGAATCCCCACACGGAACAGCAGAGATCAGCCTGGATGGCATCGAACCTAGGCTTTGGCTTCCAGGAAATAAGGAGCCCTTGGAAGATATGGAGCGGCAGAGAAATAGGATAAGAGTGGTGCTTTGGGGAAACTGTTCTTGTGACGTGCTGAATGGAGGGGACAGGAGAGACAATGGACACAAGGTGACAAGGCCTAGAAGGATTAAAAGAGCTCAGAAGCTCTGCCGTGAATGATCACTCGGAATTGGTGCTAAAATATCCTGGAGTTTATATTCTAAGTCAGTGGGTAATTGGGACGCGGTGGAAAAAACGTGGGATGACCTCAGCTTGTCTCAGGAACACAGCTTAGACAAAGGGGATACCCTGGGTTGCATCTGTCCTGTCTTGTCTTCCCAGCTTGAGGCCAGGAACTGACAGTCATATCCAGATCCCTAATGCTTGCTATGTAGTAATAATGGAAAAATGAGAACTCTGACAGCTGCCGTCTGTATTGAGCATGAGGCTCAAGGGCTTTGCATAATTACCCTATTTAACTCCATCAGTAATCCTATAAAGTAAGCATCAAGGGCTGTACTCTGTAGGTGAAGAAACTGTCTGGCACCCAGAGGCTGATACTTGCAAAATATTTATTAAAGTACTCATCATTAATAAGTACCAAAATGATCACGTAAGAACACATCAGTAAAATCCTCTATTTCCCACTATCATCAGATATTAGATGTTCCTTTAACTCCTGCTGCTATAACTGTCACAAGCCACATGTGGCTATTTAAATTTAAATTAATCAACATTAGATAAAATTTAAAATTCAGTTTCTTAATAAGACTAGCCACATTCTAGGCGCTTAGCAGTCCCATGTGACTAGTGTCTACTGAGTTGAACAGTTCATTAGAGAACATCTCCATTACTGTTCTTTTTGATAGGGCTTTTTTATAATCTCGTATGATTTCCTGAGAGAAATCCCTTCCTAAGTGGAAAATCACTACACTAGTCAGGCATAGCATCTCCTCTGAAGAGTCCTCCACATTCCAGCCCTGTTCCATTACATTCCAACAAATGGTCATTCTGTATCTGGTATAATACTCAGTAAGTGTTGGGAACACAGAGAAAAATCCGACATGATTTTTGCCCCGAAAGAGTTTATAGCTACGTAGAGGAAGAAGAGATATATTAATTATATAATTAGATGCTATCATATTTGCAACACATATGACAAATCCCTGATATCCAATGCATATAACAATGAGAAGCTAGCTAGGTAGGAGAATGATTGAATTGGGCATACTCATAGGATAGAATACCACAGGGGCAGTTTAAATGATTGAACCAGACTTTATTTGCTTATAGTATGAGACATTAGAATTTAAACACGCAGAACCATAGTATATATTATATATGAATACACACATATCCATCTATAATGCTTTCGTTTTTAATTAAAAATAGACTCGAAGAAAATACGGGCTGGGCGCGGTGGCTCACTCCTATAATCCCAGCACTTTGGGAGGCCGAGGTGGGTGGATCACCTGAGGTCAGGAGTTCGAGACCAGCCTGACCAACATGGTGAAACCCCATATCTACTAAAAATACAAAAATTAGCCAAGCATGGTGGTGGGTGCCTGTAATCCCAGCTACTTGGGAAGCTGAGGAAGGAGAATTACTTGAACCTGGGAGGCGGAGGTTGCAGTGAGCCAAGATTGTGCCATTGCACTCCAGCCTGGATGACAGAGTAACACTCTGTCTCAAAAGAAAAAAAAAAGAAAGAAAATATGAACATGTTAGCAGTTGTTCATTCCCACTCAGAATATTATATTTCTCAAAATAAAAGAAGTGAAAGAGCATAGAAAAGAAAAGAATCAGTATTGTGGTGCAAGAAGGAATGGTGTGCCCCCAGGGAGAACGATGCTTATTATGAGGGTAGGAGGATCAAGAAAGGCTGAAAGTGGGATCTGAACGCATGTTTTTCCAAAGAAGACATACAAATGACCAACAGGTATATGCAAAGGTGCTCAGCCTCACTCATCATTGGAGAAATGCAAATCAAAACCACAATGAGATATCACCTCACACCCATTAGAGTGACTATCATCAAAAAGACAGTATAGATGAGGAGGTGGAGAAAAGGAAACCCTTTTTTCATTGTTGTGGGGGGAGTGTAAATTGGTACAGCTATTATGGAGAACAGTATGGAGATACCCCCAAAATTAAAACTCAAATGATCATTATGACCCATCAATCCCTCTGCTGGATATATACCCAAAGGAAATGAAATCACAAGCTCATCAGATGTCTGCACGCCCATGTTCACAGCAACACTATTCAGAAGAGCCAGGATGTGGAAGCAACGCGAGTGTTCAACCACAGGGGAGTGGAGAAAGAAATTGTGGTGTATATATGCAATGGAATAGTCAGCCTGAAAAAAGACGGAAATCCTGTCATTTGTGACAAGATAGATGAACCTGAAGGACATTATGCTATATGAAATAAGCCAGACACAAAAAGACAAATACCAGATGATCTCACTTACATGTGAAATCGAAAAACACCCCAAAATGTCAAATATAAAATGGTGGTTACAAAGAGTAAGGGGTGGGGGGTCACAGGGTCACCCAATATGGAGTCAAATCCCATTCTGCCAGTTGCCAGCTATTCAAATTTCAGCAAGCCTCTGAACCAAGTCGAACTTCAGTTTTCTCACTTTTTAAAATGGGATGAGATTGCCTGCTTGCTGAGAGTATCGAATGAGAGAGTGCAAATAAGTGCCATTCGGCACAGAGCCTGGTCCCTCCCAACCCCCAATGATGGCTAATCATTATTAATCATTGTAGAGTGGAATACCCTTGGACACACCCTATGTGTGAGTGAAAATGATCACCATGTGAGGAAATAAATGCCTTGCCATGGCACATTCCAAAGAGGGAAGGGTTTGGCAACCAGTGTGAGGCTGTCAGGGAACCCACAAATTCCCCCCAAGTCCTCATCCTCCCCTGAGGATGTCTCTTAGCTCACTTTTCCTCACCTGAATTGGCAACCCTTCCAAATTCACACCTGGTGGGCCGAGCACTAGGAATAACACATGCACATACAGAGTTGCCCCTCAGTATCCATGAGGGATTGGTTCCAAGATCCTCCTCAAATACCAAAATCCGAGGATGCTCCATTCCCGTAGATAAGTAGCATGGTGTTTGCATATAACCTACACACATCCTCCTATATACTTTGTTATCTCTAGATTACTTATAATCTCTAACACAATGTAAATGCTATGTAAATAGCTGTTATACTGTATTGTTTAGGGAACAACGATAATTTTTTAAGTCTGTACATGTTCAGTACAGACACAATTAACCGTTTTTTCCTGAATATTTTCAATTCTTGATTGGTTGAATCTATGAATGTGAAACCCAGAAATATGGAGTGCCAACTGTGTATATATATAAAATATTAATAAAATGCTCCAACTGTTCAAAGATGTCAATAAAATGCCCACAGTTGAGGACAATTCAATTTTGTTCAATTGATAAGTCTGCCAGGCACTCAGAATAAAGATAAGAAAAACTTTGCTTTCCTCTTCTCTCAAGCTATGCTAATCCTAAAGGAGCCAGAAAGAAATGCTAGAAAAATATACTAGAATGGGGGTTAACCAAGAGGCTGCAGATGTTTGATTTAGCAGTAGGCACAGGTCCCACCCGTTACAGTCCTGCCTCCTTGCTGCAGGAGGGATGTAGTCCACAGGCTCACTGACTTTTGAAGGCTGCTGAACTTGTAACAATGGGGTGCCCAGATGCATGCCATGAGACACGTGCTGTTTACCAGGGATAAGCAGGGACCTTTGCCTTCCTCTCCTCTGCTGCTGTTGTTATACTGAGACTTGTCCAAGAAAAGCCTCCGCGTGAAGTCATCAGAAAATATGTAGAAGCAATTTGGGATGCTGACTGCCTGGCTGACTTTATCACAGATCAAAGCAGCTTTCCCATCAAAGATCAGTAATCAGTCTTAACACAAGTGGAGGGATCAGGCATCCTTAACACTTCATTTAAAATAAATGCTCGCCCATGAATATGGGAATATACAGGCAGAAACGCCAGCCAGGCTCAGGTTTATCCATCTGGCCAGGGGCTCCCACCCTCTATCTCCACAGCTTGCAATCATGCCTGACTCTCCTGCCATCTCCTTCACAACAAACCATTCTCTGCCCTCATTCAGAAGCACTAATGGCAAATCCCCACTCCATGAACCTCCAGACCTATATATCTGCCTCTGTCCTCTGGAAAAATGTGTATGTCAGTATTTGATCAAGGATATGTTTTACACATATACTTAGTATTGAGTTCTAGACTAGTTTTAATCCCATATCTCCCATTGATGATGATGTTGATGACGGTTAACATTTATTGGACATTTATGTACTTGTAGCTGGCATTGTGCTGTGCATTGCACACATGGTAGCATGTCTAATCCTCCTAATGACTCTATGAGGTAGATCACTCTATTTTTACAAATGTAATATCTGAGGTTTATGAAGATTAACTTAATAAAATTCACACAAGATGTGAAGGTGCTGGGGCTCAAACCAAGGTGAGCTATCTCCAGAATCTGTGTTCTTCCCATCAGGTTATGATGTAATTTCAAATTTTGGAGTATTTTGGTTTGGGTTTTTTTTTTTCTTGTTTGTTTAAGAGCTCGAAAAACTTAGAAACTGCCTATTCAACAATCCATTCTAGAGATGAGGAAATTGAGGGCTGGGGAACCGCCTTTTCCAAAGTCATGTGAGAGCCAGTGGTTAAGCCTGGGCTACAACCCAATCACTTAATTTCCATAAAATACTTTTATACCAGGAAACCTCTCTAGATGTAATCCTTGGCTGCATTCTGGAATAAGGAGAAAGAAGGGTAGGGAAGCCTCATTAACTCCCTTGGGCTGAGCAGGCTCTTCCAATGAAAGTCAAGAAGGAACAAGGCAGACTGCCTCTGCTTTGATTCACAACTTAACCAGTATCCAGCATTTAGAAAACAGGCCGGTGTTCCTACAGGAGGATTGGCTGATACACACCACACTCTGACATTTACAGAGAAGCTGAATAGGGTTGTAGTTAGGAGCTGCACTCTTGAGTTGTAGCAACCTGAGTATAAATTCCTACCCTATGCACTCTTATGAGGTCTGCCATTTTGGATAACCTTTCTCATCCTCAGTTTCCTCATCTGTAAAATGGGCATAATAAGAGCACCTATCTCAAAAACTTCTTATAAAGTTTCAAAGATCATGTACTCAGATCCTACCTAGTCCATAGTAAGGGCTCATACGATTTTATCTATCTATCATTAATATAATTGCTACTCTCTTCTCCACTGGCCTGTCTCTGCATGACCTATGCCAATAACACGGCAAGACAAAGCTGCAGAAAGTAACAAATGTTTCAAATCTATCTGTCAGGAACTTGGCCTTTGACTCTAATTCTCAGATTGCACGGTGACAATTAAATACCTTTCCCCCATGGCTATAGAGAAGCACAATTACTTTATATTTTTCACTCTGGTAACCAGGCAACTGACAGTCTTTTCACACAATGAAACTGCTCAAAACACCTCACTCTGATTCATTTGAGCATGCGGCAGGTTGGGCAGCTGAGTCATCTGTACTTCCTGAGAGGTACAATTAGGGACCATGGTTTTGAGAAGAGCCATTAATCGTTCCCCAGGTATTAGCTGAGCTGAGAACAGATACAGAGTCACCAGTGCAGATGAACTCTATGCTGACTCAGGTCCAGGATCCGAGATTTCAGGAGGTCAGGTGTTGTTGAGAATAGTGACTGAACTAGACTTCAAAAGGCCAGCTCTGGGCTCGACTCTGCCCCTAAGATCCGTGTGATCTTAGATGCATCGTTTAATGGCCTGGATCTCTGCTTCCTCAGCTGTAAAATGAGGGTATTAGAGCAGAGAGCCCCTCAATGGGCCCTTAGCACTGAAGGTCTTTGATTACCTAAGAAAGGCTAGTTGTATGAGAAAAATTTATTATATGATGCCCTTCAGATTTAAAAGAGAATTTTGATGAATCTATCATAAAGAAAGCTGTGAGTTTTAGCTAGTGAGCTGGGGCTTCCAAGCAAGTTTCTCACGAGGTTAAGGAAGTTAGATCTTCCCATTCAGCATATCGCTTTCTCTTCCAAGGGTGAGTTCTACTTCCCTGGACCACCAGCCCAGCAAAACTGACCATCTCATGCTCACTGAGAGCTCAGTAAAAATGTTTGGTCCAGTCACGGTGGCTCACATCTGTAATCCCAGTACTTTGGGAGGCTGAGTTGGGTGGATCACTTGAGGTCAGGAGTTCGAGACCAGCCTGGCTAACATGGTGAAACCCCGTCTCTACTAAAAATATAAAATTAGCCGGGCACGGTGGACAGCTAATTGTACCCTCTGGATTTTTTTTTCTTCCATGGAAGTCAGTTTGAAGAGCAACATGAAGAGCAAAGGGAGCATTAGGCAAGGCACGGGCATTTCAAGTACATTCAAATGACAAAGTGTATTTGGGAAGCATCTACAGCACAGAGGGTAAGCATTTGTGGGAGATGATTTTTGGGAGCTGCCACAGGGGCCCAGACAGGCTGCCCTCCCACTTTCCCTTTCAGACAGGCTGCCCTCCCACTTTCCATTTCTGTTTTCTCTCCTTTGCTTCACATCTCACTCCAGATGCCCTCTCTTTTCTAAGATGCTCTTGTAATAATCCCTGTCCCTGCTACATTCCCCATCGAGATGAACTCTTGTAAGAATCATTGTATATTTGGATTGTTAACAATGGTGCTATGGTTTGGATATAGTGTGTTTGTCTCACCAAAACTCATGTTGAAATTTGATCCCCAGTGTGATGGCATTGAGAACTGGGCTTAGTGAAAAGTGTTTGGGTCATAGGACAGACCCCTCATGAATGGTTTGGTGCTATTCTCGAGGTAGTGAGTGAGTTCTCTCTTTTGCAAGACTGCATTAGTTCTCATGGGAACAGATTAGTTCCTAAGAGAGTGGGTTGTTACAGAGCCAGGACACCCCTCAATATTTCCACCCTTGACATGTGTCCACTTCCCCGTCGACCTTCTCTGAGATGATGTGATGCAGCAAGAAAGGCCTTGCCAAAAGTCAGGGCCACGCTCTTGAACTTCCCTGCCTGCAAGATTATGAGCTACATAAACCTCTTTATAAGTTACCCAGCTTGAGGTGTTCTTAATACCAACACAGAAATGGACTAAGACAGATGGGTTCCTTTACCAGATAAAATAGCATTCACTTATTGTATTTATTTAGTGTGATGGGGCAAACAGATCTCAAAATAAATGAACAGAGGGGGTGTCCCTCCTGCCCTTTGCCCACCAATCCCACCCTCTCACATTCTTGTCCAGAGAGCACCACGGCCGTCTGGGATTGGAAGGTTGCTCACCATCGTGTGGGTTGGGTGTCTGCTTCTATTCTCCAACTGACCTTACAAATTCCTGCATTTACTCGCCACAATGTTCCCATTTCTTATCAATGCAATGGAGGCTTGAGCAATTATCCATTAAATATTTCAAGAGAAGTTCTTTTTCTTTGTGTTAGGAAAATTCACAGGCTTATGTTTTCATTTTGTTTTATTCAACTTGATTTTGGGGTATTTCATAAAAATATGTAATATGCAGGTAATAATATAAAATTAAATAAACAGGCAAAATAATGATGATGCTGATGATGATGATGAAAAGTAGCTGGAGGCAAAACTTAGTCCTCTAAATGCATGAAAGGTACCTTTGAAGTTGCAAAATACAGACTATGTTAGTTGTTGAGCTTCCTGGTAGCCAGAACAAAAAAGAGACACTAATTAGCTAAAATACTTGTAGTGGTCATAAGTAAAAAACAAATTAGGGTAAGTTTTCCTTAACACTATAGCACAAGGGGCCCAATGAGCTGGCAAAGTTCATCGCTTTTGGACAGGAGAGAGTAATCCAAGAACAAAGGAGGAATTGAACACTCTCTAAGTCTGAATCAGCAGCCAGGTAATTGTACCCTCTAGTTTTTTTTCTTTTTTCTTTATTTTTCTTTTCTTTTTCTTTTTTTTTCTTCCATGGAAGTTAGTTTGCAGGATCTGATGAGCTAAGTATTCCCAACATGAAGAGCAAAGGGAGCATTAGGCAAGGCACGGGCGTTTCAAGAACATTCAAATCACAAAGTGTATTTGGGAAGCATCTACAGCACAGAGGGTAAGCATTTGTGGGAGATGATTTTTGGAAGCTGCCACAGGGGCCCAGACAGGCTGCCCTCCCACTTTCCCTTTCTGTCTTCACTCCCTTCTGCTCACTACAGCTGTGGCTTTCTGGAGTACTACCTGCAAGATGCTGGGGCTGTGCCAGAGGTCCAGCCTTAGGAAGAAGGGCACAGTTACTGACACCACTGCAGCGATGGAAAGCAGGACTCACTGCACATATTTGCAGTCTCTCTTTAGAAGATTTACCAGGAACATCATTTTAATAAAAGAGGGGCCTTGGAGAGTTCACAATGCTCACTTCTGAAAGGATGTGGAATACAGATGTTCCCTTCTATTACATAAGGGCAGATTTGCAGGCTGCATCACCATCATCACTGTCAACAGAATCTTCATTATCATTTCATACATACCTTTACAACAGATGCCAATTATTTTGCAGTTACTATTTTCTAGGCATTTAATTAAACAGTTTACACATATTGTATATATTTTTTGATGCTTGAGTATTTTTTCAGCTTTACGGATGTGTAATTGACACATTTTAAAATGTGAGTATTCAAGGTATGCAATGTAATGTTTTGATATGTGCACACATTGTAAAATGATTACTGCAATCAAGTCAATTCACATATCCATCACCTCACAGAGTTACCTTTGTGTGTGTGTGTATGGCGAGAATACCTAAGATCTACTCCCTTAGCAAAATCCAAGAATGCAATACATTGCTATTAAGTACAGTCACCATGCTGTACATTAGGTCTCTAGAAGTTACTGATTTTACAACTCAAAGTGAGTACCCTTTGACTAACTTCGTCCCATTTTTTCCACCCCCTGAATATTATTTAAGTAAAGAAACAATGGAAAAAATAGAAAATTGGATGTGAATTTTCCCATGTTCACATTGCTAATAAGTAACAAAGCTGAGCTTAGAATCAAGGTCAGTCTACTCTAAATCCTTGGCTGTAAACTCAGTCTTTGTGTTTTATTAAATTCATACACTCCAAACACTAAAATAAAACTTGAGCATGCACTTCTAGTATATGTGAGTCACTTTTACGTAAATTATGTATTAATGAATAAATACTATTATGTCCATTGTGAAACCGCTAAAACATATATTTTAAAGGATGAAAAACCTAAAGAGGAAATAAAATAATATTTAAATTTTTTCTTTATTACTAGTACAATCTTCTGCTATCACTAATATTATGAATAACACATCATTATTTTTTAAAACCTTGGTTTGCTAGTTTATGATACAGTGATCCAAAGATCTGAATGTAACTTAAGTTTCCTTTGACACAGATACTCACGACTAAAAAATATTCTATACAAAGACATGGGGATCAAAATGCAATATGTATATCTGAGTTTCTTATTAAATAACGATAATCATTTTTTTCAATCTCATCCACCAATTAGTCAAAGATTTTTGTGATAGCCCAGCTAGTAAATTTCAAATTTTCTTGAACTCAGGTGCAAACTAATCAGAAGGTCAGATATTTATATATGTTTCATGAATGGATTCAAAACCTACTAAAGCTCTTCATTTCAGGAATATCTTTAAACTGGTTACAAAATTTGTTTCTAATTTCTGAAAAAGAGTTTAGGTATGAGTTTTAACATGTAGCATTTTTTTCAGTGAAAATATTCATATAATACTAGAAATATTTTAAAACATGTAGTTTCAAAATGTTCTCTATGAATCACCAGTTCCTTTTAAAAATACGTTATTTTCTCACTCATGAAAACATCACCTTTCCCTTTATTGGATAGAATCTGTTTGTTTCTTTGTGTGTAATATTTGCTTAGTACCACATTCTGACAGCCTCTGTTGTAACAGAGAAGGCCACAGCTTATATTGCTTGACTTTTTGCAAAAGAAAAACATAAATGTATAACATCCTTAAGGTCAACATTTCTGAGGATTTTGCTATAATACAAACAGAAAATTTCATTATGAAACAAAAAAGTTTTCATAGAAATTCTCTGTCATTATAAAGCTTAGTAAATATTGCATTATTTTAGTATTGTTGTAATGAAACTAGCCAGATCAAGCTAACTTGGAGCACTATCAAAGGGTGATGTATTTAAACATTCTGAAAGAGAATGCGTGCAGCCCCACTGTCCAGCTTGCTATGTCAGGGAGTTCCCTATACTCCTCTGGTACCAGGAAGTCCTGGGCACTATGTGTAATCTGTGACCATCTTGACAAATGGATCAATCCAGCATCAAACATGAAAAATTAGAATATTAACAGTGTGAATCTAAATTCTTTATATTTTTGGATTAAAATATACATGGAAATTTAATAGTTTTCTAATGTCAGTGGATCATCTGTCCATTCTTGGAGAACTTTGCTTTCCACCACCATGATCTGCTGCCTCTCAATCAACTCTATTGCACTGCTTTGACAATCAAATGGGCAGGAGTAGGGTTGGAATCTTCTTTTGAAACTTAAGGAGAAACATCTGGTAAGGCTTGGCAGAAGTTTTACAATTCTCTGGAAATCTCACTTAAATGATAGTAAAGGATAACGAGGACAAAACTGCACAAGAACAGAGAAAATGGGAGAAAAAGTTATAAGAGACAGAGAAGTCCATATAATTTTAGAAGTAAGCAACAGATGGACAAATGGCAGCTTACTTAGGACACCCAAAGGAAGCTGAAAGCGTGCCTGTGTGGAGGATGGAAAGAGCATGTGGAGGGTGGGAATTAAGACAGAAAGCAAGCATGTTTGAGCCACAGGACCCTCAAAGAGCTCAGACACGAATAGCACCAGGCACTTCTGAAGGCAAAGGCACAGGTGGGGTTGACAATAGGGGAACTGATAGCAAGTCTGTATCAGAAGCAGTTAGATTCTGAATATGTGTAGACAAGCAAGAGCTCTGGGATATCCACATACAATTGGCTCAACTGAAAGTAGGGAATTAAGTTCAAGTTTACATATCCAGTGGTGAGCCTCTGTCCCCATTCATTTCCCTAAAAAGTAGCAACCAGCTTCATACCTTTTAAGCAAGAGCCTGGATGATTGCTTTCTGGAGAAACACAAGAGAAAAGATTTCCAGTTACTAATATTTTGGAGTCTTTTAATGAAACCATCTGATCCCTAGACCGTGACCCTGAAATGAAGCTCACTGCTTGATAAATACCACTCGTGTTCTCAGAGCTCCCACATAGACCTTGTGTATTTCTGGCTTAAAAATGAATGAACAGTAAAAATCACAGACATGAGAGGAAATATTCTAGCATATAAAACTGAGACAAAAGCAAACAGAAACAAAATCAATGAAGAAGGCAGAAGACCACTTAAAATCTATTGCTATAATTATTAACCTTCAAGACTTTGAGGAGTGAGAAGAAACTGAAATAACAATATAAAAGAACTCATTAAAATTAAAATATGGTATCAGGAGGGAAGAAATAAATAGAAGGGTTGAAACATAAATTTGGAGAAATCTCTGTAAAAGGTAGACATTTGGAAAATATGAGATCAAATATAAGAAGATTAAAAGATTAGTCTAGGAAGTCCAACATCTGAGTAACAGGTGGTCCAGAGAGAGAGAAGAGGGAAAATGGGAGGGAATGAATGAGCAAATAAATATTATTCCCAAATCTGAGAAAACGTGAACTTTTGGACTGAGAGATTCCACCAGATAGCCAGCAAAAATCATTTTAAAAGTCACAAGGTCAAGTCATATTATTGTAAGACGTCAAAATACCAGATGCAAAATCAATATACTAAAAGCTTCCAAAGAGAAAAGATAGATCAAAATAAAAAGATGGGGAATCAAAAAAGCTTCAGACTTCTCCTTAGCAACACTGCAATATACCTAGAATAGAATGGAGAAGTACATTCAAAGTCCAGAAAGGAAATAAATTGATACTTAGAATTCCATACTCAGTAAATCTCAATCAAGAAAAGGGCAGTAGACAGGCATTTTCAAACATACAAGGTCACAAATTTGTGGCAATCTTGCATCATTTCTTTTTCTTTCTTTTTGAGATGGAGTCTCACTCTGTCTCCCAGGCTGGAGTGCAGTGGTGCGATCTTGGCTCATTGCAACCTCTGTCTCCCAGCTCAAGTGATTCTTGTGCCTCAGCCTCTGGAGTAGCTGAGATTACAGGCATGTGCCACCACGCCTGGCTAATTTTTTTTGTATTTTTGGTAGAGATGGGGTTTTATCATGTTGGCCAGGCTGGTCTCAAACTCCTGACCTCAGGTGATCCGCCTGCCTCAGCCTCTCAAAGTGCTGGGATTAAAAGCATGAGTGCTCCCAGCCTCTTGCATCATTTCTGAAGCTGCTAATGAAGGTTTTGGCTCAATAAAATCAGAAAGAACACACATACAAAAAGAAAAAATGAGGTGAGGAAACAGAGGATCCAATACAGAAAAGAACTGAAGGAAATTTCCAGGAGGATGATGAAGGAAGATCCCAGAAAGCCTGGGACGTAATCAATCCATGTTGCAGCAGAACAGAAGACTCCAAAAGGAATGTCTGCAAAGAAATAAAAAAGTGAAAGAAATAGATGATCTAGATGGTTGAACCCATCAAGGGGAGATTTTCATCTGTTGAAGGGTATGGGCTAAGTTAGGAAGATACAAATACAAAAATAAGCAAATGTTAAAATCATTCAATTAAGAACTGCAAGGGAAAAAGTTAAAGAGAAGAAATATACTCACAGTATACAAAATGCCTCAAACAGATACACATAAACATATGTATATTTTATTAGCTTGGCTATAATAGTATATAATATATAACAACATATAATACATACATATACATATATGCTATAGCCAAGCTCATAAACTGTCTAGATGTTGATGCACAAATCATGAGAGATAAATCTTTATTTTCTACATTTGGAAGCTAAACCACCATGTTAAAAATTGGAAGAATATTCAGAACAAACATTTATGAAAGCAGAAAAAAGAAGAAGAGAGTTGAATGTGGCAGCCTCACATAAGTGGGAACTTGGGGTGGAGAGAAGTTGGGTAAAACCTAAAATCCTCAAAGAATTATTTGAAAATTTTAAAAGAAAGATACATGTATTATTTTATAAAAATAAAAATTAAAAGAAATGCAAAAACAGACTAATAAGGGCAGAATGTAAGAGTAATAGCTAACATTACTGCATATATATTGTGTTTGAAGCACTCTACATGATTTAACTCATTTTCTCTTCCCAGCAATTGTATGAGCTAAGTGCTATTGTTATAATACACATTTTTAAGATCAGGGTACTAAGGTCCAAAGACCTTAAGTAAGTTGCTCAAGGGTGCACAGCTAGGAAGCAGTAAAAGCAGAATTTTAACCCACACAGCCTGGGCCCAGAGCCTTCAATCTTCAACTCTCTGTTATACTACAAAGGAAGACACTTAAAAGCTACAACAAGAACGTTTGTTTGATTAAAAGTTCATCAACCTCTGCAGGAAGTTTCTCCAGGCAGGACCAGGAACTTTCCCAAAGTCTGCACCCACATAAAGACTGGTGGACAGCTATGGTTCCAGTATTCTCTGTCTTATACTTTTGTGGATGATTTTAGCTTAGAGAATTATCCAACATGGTCATTTAAAACGTTCCAATAAAGCACCCCCAGAATGTCTAAAGAAAGGCAGATTGCTGAAAGGCTGTGCTGAAAATGTACTCTCACTAACTTACATCACGTACCAATGATTGTAATTAGAATTAGATGGAGAAAGAACTGTGTGGGTCTCAAGCGGCTCCAAGAATCAAAGTGGAATTTTTTTCTTAATGGTCACAAGACTACTGCACACTTACATGACATGTTAAGAAATTAAAGATTTAAATCAGTCTTCCATATCTCTAAATTTGGAAACAGTTGATAGATTCTTCAGCTATAGATTCAATAAAAATAAGATCAGATAAAAGCAGAAATGACTGCACAATTTATGCAATATTTAATCCATCCTACAAAAAGACTCTGCATGGAGCACAAACAGAAGCTACATGACAAGTTTTGCTCTGTTCAATTTTTCTCTTTAAACTCTACTGTGTGCTGTTTGGTAAACGCTATTATTTCAGAAGGGAGAATCTCATCTGGAATCAGAAGATATGACGACATATGCCACTGAGGGGTCTCACTGATTTTCTAGGAAAGAAACTTTGATGAATTCACAGTGAATTCTTTCTGTCCTTTAAGGGCCGTTGAGCAGACCTCACCACCAGAACATCAGCATCATTACCAGCCTTTTATATGACATTTTACACCTTGGAGATGGAGCAGGGACCCCTCTTAGGGGCACCCCCCCAACCCCTGCATGAAAATAAAGGAAAATCTTGATTTCCTTTACAGGAAATTCCAGGCACCTAGCTAGTCCTGAGAAATAAATAAGCAACTTGATGAACAAGAAGATGATAGCAGCTTAAAACAATAACCAAGGAAGCTAGAATCATGGGATGTTTGGTTTTCTTATAGAAATTAAAGATAACATCTTAACATATGTCCCTGGGTTGCTCTTCAGAATCCTAGACCCCCACCAAAGACATCCACTGGCCTGTAGACCTCAGCTAAGGGGAAACTGAGGACGCAACTCTGACTGCCATTCTTTGTTCTAAATTTCTTCCTGAGGGTCCTGGAGGGAGTCACACTCACGAGCCAGAGACAACATTCTTTTCTACTGACCCCAAATTTGTAAACAAAGCTTCTCTTCCTTAAGTGATTGCAAATCAGAAAATCTTTGAGTCTACCTCTGACCTGTAAGCCCTCACTTCAAGTCATTCCGCTCTTTCAGGCCAGAGCCAATGTGTAACCTCCACGTATTGATTTGCAATTTTGCCCGTGGCTTCTGCTTTCCTAAAACTTACCCATCCCGTTAAAAACTCTTACTTGCAAGCCATCAGGGAGGTCAGGATTGAGCATCAGCTGCCTGGTCCTCCTTGCTTGGCGCTTTGCAAAGAAACACCTTCCTTTCTACTGCTGCAAACCTCGGTGTGCATATCTGGTCCTACTCCGTGGAGTAGTGGACCCCAGTTCAGTTCTATAACACTTTCAAAATACTTGTTGCTTTTCTTGGGTTTTAGCCCAAATCTTACAGAGGCAGCAGTGCAGGAATATTCATATTGTGGTGAGCTTAGGTGAACAAAAGAGAAGAGCCGAGTAGCTTTTTGAATCCCAACATTAGGGAAGAAAATACCTTCCTGGGACCAAGCACCTATGCGCTTCATCTTGATCTAATTTCTCCTGATGAAAGCATAGAGGAGAAACATATCCTGAACAAGGCCAGAGAGGAGGGAAAACGCAGGATGTGGTTGGGGCAACAGTGACTAGCAAATCAAATGCGTTGGGTATGATAATCCTAGTTCCTGAGCTTTCCGGCATAGTCTTGATTAGAACGTTGTATCTTGGTGTCATACCATGTGGTCTTAGTTCAGTTCAGGAAGCACTGATTCCAAATCCAAAGGAAACTCACAAATGCTCAGATATGCCGCCTCATGGGGCTCTTTTATTTGCTTCTAAAATTTTGACTGAGAGAAATGGTCCCTATTTATTGCTTTTACAGTGAGAACACCAGTGGGAGATTTCACTTTAATTTGAAGTTATGTATATTGGACACTGATCATCTTAAATTCTGTTGATGAAGTGGTTTCCAAAGGAGCTAGCTGGTAATGATGGCTAGCAAGGGAAGAAGGAAATCTGCAACCTTAAACTTCGCATGCAAATTAAGAAACTGACAATAGAGGAAACACTTGGAGTAATTCTATCTGTAAAAGGTAGGATAAAAGTTAAACAGAAATCATCAAAGATATTTTTCACGTTTTATACTCTTGCCTTTTGCTATGCTTCTGTGGGGGTACTGCACAAATAGAAATCGATTGTAGATGTTTTATGAAATTACTCAATTTTTCAAAATTAAATTTGTAGGGAGGATATTATTTATGAATCCAATTCTGTTGTAAATGAAGTTACCACCTTCCTCCTATAATAAGGTACTTGTTCCCGAGCTCGATGAAGGATTGTGTAATAAAGGAAACAAATAGTCCTTCTTTTGGCTTAATTAATTTTTTTTTAATCTTAATGTAACAAGTTTCATGATGGCAAAAAATTTGAAATGTATTTTCTGATTGTTGAGAGATAGAGAGGGAGGGCGGCAGAGGGAGGACTTGATCTCAAAGATGAATACAAAGTTCTGTGGTTTCTTTATTGTTCTTGGTGCACTTTCTTATCAGGGATGAAAAATGAGCTTCTAGTAAGAGCAGGGGGATGACGTGCAGCCACGTGGAGAGCTACAGGAACTGCGCTCCTACCTGCCCCTGGCACACACCTGGCACGCGCCTGCTCCTGGTCATATCCTGCTCTTTCAGATCTTGGTTCAGCTCCAGGGTTCCCAACTCCCCTGGTTAGGCAAGGTCCCTCTTGCCATCATCTGTTCTCATAGCACCCACAGTTCTCCCTCAGAATCCTTTATGACCACAGCTAAAAATTTCTAACAGGGTAGTTGTTAACGTCTCCCTCCCGATCAGAGAATAAACTTTGTGTAGGCAGGGACAATGATGTTTGTTCATTGCCAAATCCTCAGGTGCTGTGTCGGTGCCTTGCATATAGTCAGTAAACAAACAAACAAAAAAAAGATGTGGGTATCTGACAAAAGAATCATATCTAAAATATATAAAGAACTCTCCCCAGCACTTTGGGAGGCCAAGGTGGGCGGATCACCTGAGGTCAGGAGTTCGAGACCAGGCTGACCAACATGGAGAAACCCCATCTCCACTAAAAATACAAAATTAGCCGAGCATGGTGGCGCATGCCTGTAAACCCAGCTACCCAGGAGGCTGAGGCAGGAGAATCACTTGAACCCGGGAGACAGAGGTTGCACTGAGCCAAGGTCATGCCATTGCACTCCAGCCTGGGCAACAAGAGCAAAACTATGTCAAAAAATAAAATAAAATAAAAATAAATTTAAAAAAACCTCTCAAACTGAACAGTTAAAAAAATCTAAAAATCAATTTAAAAATGGACAAAAGACGTGGACTGATAGTACAGTTCACCAAAGAGGGTATTTAAATGGCAAATGGGCACACAGAAGTATGTTCAACATCACAGCTGGGCGTCATGGCTCATGCCGGTAATCCCAAGACTTTGGAAGGCCGAGGCGGGCAGATTGCTTGAGGCCAGGAGTTTGAGACCAGCCTGGCCAACATGGCAAAACCCCATCTCTACTAAAAATTTAAAAAAATTAGTTGGGCGTGGTGGCACAAGCCTGTGGTTCCAACCACTCAGGCAGCTGAGGCACGAGAATCACTTGAACCTGGAAGGTGGAGGTTGCAGTGAGGTTGCACCACTGCACTGCAGCCTGGGCGACAGAGGGAGACTCTGTCTCAACAACAACAAAAAAACGTTCAACATCATTAGCTATTAGGAAAATGCAAATTAAAAACATGGTGAGATATTATTACGTACCTACTAGAACATTAAAATAAACAATAGCAATGACATCAAACGCTGTCAAGGATGCAGAGAAATGAGATCATTCACACACTGCTATTTGGAATGTAAAATACTACCACCACTTTGAAAAACACTTTGGCAGTTTCTTAAAAAATTAAACATACACTTACTACGCAACCCAAAAACTGCATTCCTGAGCTTTTTTTTTTTTTCCAGAGAAAAGTGGAATTCTGTCCACACAAAGACCTGTACATGAATGTTCATGGCAACTTTATTCATACCAGCCAAACACTTAAGACAACATGGATGTTCTTCAATGCGTAGACAGTAAAACAAATTGTGACACATCCACGCTGTTGAATCCCGCTCAGCAAGAAAAAGCAAGGATCCTGCACCACGTGACTTGGATGAATCTCCAGGACCTTCTGCTGAGAGAAAGAAGCCAGTCTCAGAAGATGAGATTATACGATATGATTCCATGTGTATAGCATTCTTGAAATAACAGAAGTATAGAGATGGGGAAGAGATTAGTGATTGTGTAGGGTTAGAGGCGGCAGAAAAAGGAGTAAGCGTGACTGTGAAGGGGCAGCATGAGGTAGATCTTTGTGGTGAAGGATCCGTTCTGTGTCTTGATTATGCAATGCATAAAGTACACACACACACACGTACACATAAAACTGATGAAATCTTAATAAAGTCTGTGGATTGTACCCAAGTCAATTTCCTGGTTGTGATATTGTACTATAGTTATGTAAAATGCTACCAGCGGGGAAAACTGAATGAGGCATACACAGTATCTCTTTCTGTTCTTTCTGTATCTTTCCATCCATCTTTAATTACTTCAAAATTAAAAGATAAAAACTCAGACACTTCCCATGTGTGTGAGTTAGGAGGACAAAAATGAACTAATTTATCTATGCTTTAGTTTCTTCACTTTCAAAATGAGGGAAATAATATTACCTAGTAGATTTGTCATGAGGATTAGATTTGTTAATGCATTAAACATGCTAAGACAATGCTTGTCACCAAATGCCCAATGAATGTTGCCTATTATTATTTGATAATAGTAATGATTACTATCAATTATCACAATTGACAGTACGATGTGAAGGGAGCTCAAATTTCTCACTTGTTTCAGTGTATTAACAAAATCATCATCATTCTTTTAAAAATTCAGTTTCACATAGGTACAAAGATGAAAATATAACATCATTCCGTTTGGAAATTCTCAGCTTATTTCAAGCTGAGAATCCACTAAAGACCGAGATGTGCCCTCAGTCTTTAGTCACGCACCTTGCCTTCTCCCACGAGGGCCAGAAGAAGAGCCAATTCTGGCAGTTTAGGCTTCTAGAAAGCAATAACCCTGAGCATGCTCAACACGGGGGAGTCAGAAAGTCCCTGCAAGGGATGTGGGCTGGGGAGACACAGGCCTTGCAGTGGGAGTAGCATGATGCGGAGAAGAGACCAAGGCCAAGTCCCAGGTGGGCACTAATTCATTCTGCCTTTTAAGTCCTGGGCTTTTTATGGGCCATCATTGTCGTTGGCATCATCATCATCAACACTGTATTGTGAGGCTTTTGAGAGCCAGGCTGCTTGCTCTTGAATCTCTAGGACCTAACACAGGGTCTGGTATATAGTAGATGCAAAATAAGTATCTGCTGAATTGAGAATCTGTAATTTCTTCTCATTCTTCCCAACACCAAAGTCCTCCTCATCCTTCAAGGGCATATTCTATGTTCTTCACAAGGCTGTGTGTGTGGTAAAGATTAAAAGAAATGGTTGCAAAGGCAGAGCTGGCACACAACACGCATAGTGGGAACTCAAACATACCAGTCCTCTCTACCTCCTGCCAGGAAGCCTGGCTATATCTTAGAGGGGCACAACTGGTGGAGATCAGGTGCAGGGGTGACAGCCCTGTCTGCTTTCAGGTTGCCCAAACCCACCTCAGCCTCACCAGGTCACCTGAAGTTGATGGTGACAAGACTTATGCCATCACGACCACGGGCTCCCTCACCTATCAAACGACGGAACCAGATGGAGTTCCCATGGAGTTTCTTTAATTTTCATATGCCTGTGGCTACATATCACCCTTCTGCATCAGACCGGTGCAGCCTGTTCAGAACCCATAACCACTCACCTACAGAAGCAGGTGGCCCCAGTGCATTAACCCCAGGAGCAAGAAGTGAAAGTCTGAATGAAGAGCAGCTATCCGTTGCTGAAAGTTTTTTTTAAAACAGTGCATGGAGCCTAAGCAGTTCCCACCTATTTTATTGCTTTGACCTAACCTATCCAATGACGAGGCAATATATCTATCCACAGAGCACACGCTATTTAACATCTGTCCACCTGGGTAAGGTCTCTGCAAGATGAATGAGCCTACTGCTGTCATTCGTAGAAGCGAGCGAACAAAGTTAGGCTGCCAAATATAAGGACAAAATGTCCTTTCTCTTCATATCATGCTGTCTGAAAGGCTTGGGTACTGTTCGGCCCGAATAATTCACCATATGCCTGCTTTTATTATTCCTGTGGGCCTTAAACTCAAATTGCTTTTCTAATCATTTTGGCAGAGTTAAAAATCCCCTAACGTGAAGAGAGACTTGAATGTCCAGATGGAACCAGCTCTCCCATTTTACAGATGAGAAAACTGGTGCTGAGAGGCCAGGTACCTTCCTGAAGCACAGAAAGGAGCAGTGTAAGTAAGAATTGAAATTCAAGTCTTCTTAGACCACGTTCTGTGGACTGGCCTGGCCCTGAATCACACTGTTCATTTCATTTAATTCTTTTTCTTTTTCTTTTTTGTTTTTTTGTTTTGTTTTGCTTTTTGTTTTTTTTTTTTTAATTGGAAACGGAGTTTCACTCTGTCGTCCAGGCTGGAGTGCAATGGCTGAATCTCGGCTCACTGCAACCTCTGCCTCCCAGGCTCAAGCGATTCTCCTGCCTCAGCCTCCCGAGTAGCTGGGATTACAGGCATCCACCACCAGGTCTAAAAATACTAATTTTTGTATCTTTAGTAGAGATGGGGGTTTAACTATGTTGGCCAGGCTGGTCCTGAACTCCTGACCTCAGGTGATCCGCCCGCCTCGGCCTCCCAAAGTGCTGGGATTACAGGCGTGAGCCACCGCACCTGACTTCATTTAATCCTTAACAACTATTTTCCCTTACTTTCTGGATGAGATCAGAGGTGACATCCTATAAACACCATGAATGATGCAGTGGCAAGACATCAGGAGCAGAGCTCTCTGGTAGAAAATTATTCATAAACCCACACAAGGGTACACTTTCTTCCCCACAGGGATCCTGGATTGCAGCCGCAGTCCCAGCATCAGGTTTTGTCTAGGAAGACTTCAGCTGTTTATTGTCATTATAGTCATCATCTGTTTTAGTGCCTTGTAATATGGGGTGGCTTTAGGTAACAACCAGGTTCTTTGGAAAACAAATGTATTCTACACACAAGTCTGTGCAGAAGAGAACCAATAAAACCCTCGTCATTACATACGCCTTTAAGAAGTCTTCTTTGTAAAATAAGAAATCAATGCAATTGAATCACGTTCATGCAATCAGGCAGTGGTTCCACATACAACCTCAGTGTGGCATGAACAATGTAGATTGATAGTGGCCAAAAACAGCGCGGTGTGCTGGATACCTTCAACAAGCCACTGCCAACCCAGTTTCTCTGCTCTGTCCTGTCTCCCTTTACTACCTTTTTTTTTCCTTCTTCAGAGCCTTGCCTCCTCCAGTGGCAAACACCTGCTAGCCTCCAGCAACCTCAATCAACTTCCCCAGAGTCAAGCACGTGGGACATCCCAGCAACCTGCAGAAATACTTTACTGGATGCAGGGATAGCTTCCGGACACCTGATGGTATGGCCTAGAAGGAAACCTATGAGTTGCTATCCCTTGTCGTCTCTGAACCTGCATAAAGCAGAGGTACAGCTCCTTCCCACTTTCTGTTTGAGGTCATCAGGCTTCTCCTAATTTTCCATGTCAAACAAAAAGCATCCACTCACCGAGTCCAAACGCCCTGGCCTGACAATTGCTTACTTTGCCAGAAGTCCTGCTTGGTAGACTTATAAGACTTGTATCTGCATCTTGAGCGCAGAGCAGCACCTGCAATACTATGGGCAACTTAATAAGCAAATATCTGAACTGCTGTTGAGGGCTTCAGTCCCAAGACAGACTTGATGCCATAATTTATGCAAGCAAGTGGCCAAAATGTTTCATGGATGATGAGGATATTAGTACAATTTATCAGCACATAGCAACAATACTTAAAATATATAGCATAGAGTAGCCCTCAGGAAATACTATGAAGTAGATACTTCATGATTGCAATCCTGAAAAAGAGAATCCAACAGCAAGGCCACTGTTGTACGTGCAGCTCCCTGTCCCCTAACTCTATCAGATGATACCAGAACCAGGTACTCTGGCACATTGGGAGGTGAGAGAGCTGAACTCTGAGCCCTTGCTTCTTTAATATGAGAGCTGTGACTACAAAGGCCTGCCTTCTCTGTGAATTTTCTCTTCTAAAAGACAAAGCTGCAATTTTGTAATCCCATAAGCATATGGAGGTGGATGACTTGTTCAACTCTCTAATAAAATTACTTGCAAGAAACAGCTATCGCAGGAAGAGAAAAGAATATTTGCAACAACTTAAGGGAAGCACCAGGCTCCAAAACACAAGCCCAGAGAGAAGCAGGTGCAGGGCTGCAATATGGAAGCCTGACTCTCAGACCCACGGGGAGGTGGGTGGATGGGACACTGCTGGCTGAGCTAACCTGAAGGGCATGCGCAGAGCCCCTTTCACCAGGTGACATTTGAAAGTCCTACTCTTTAACTTTAACAAGGATGCTTTGAGAAAGGTCTCCCAGAGCTGGCTTCTGTATTTGCTGTAAACCCACAGTGAGAGCAATTGTCAAAAGGCTACCAGTATCACATTTGGATGATAACTTCTCTTTAAAATTGAGTACCAGCCGGGCATGGTGGCTCACGCCTGTAATTCCAGCACTTGGGGAGGCCGAGGTGGGTGGATTACCTGAGGTCAGGAGTTTGAGACCAGCCTTACGAACATGGTGAAACCATGTCTCTACTAAAAACACAAAAATTAGCTGGGCGTGGTGGCAGACACCTGTAATCCCAGCTCCTTGGGAGGCTGAGGCAGGAGAATTGCTTGAACCCAGGAGTCAGAGGTTGCAGTGAGCTGAGATGGTGCCACTGCACTCCAGTCTGGGTGACAGAGTGAAACTCCATCTCAAGAAAAAAAAAAATTGAGTACCAACCATACTATGAAATTATGCACAACATTACAGATTTTGTTTACAGATACTTTTAAATGACATAGCAATAAAAGTAAACTCAAAATAGGACACACACTGAGAAAACAACAGGTACATCTTCATGTATAGTTTGAAGCCGAGAAGCTAGTAAAATACAGCAGAACGCTGACTATTGCTGAAGTTGTGCTGGATATATGGGAGATCTCTACTCTGCTCCCTACTTTTGCGTAAGCCTGCAATTTACCATAGTAAGAAGGATAAAAAAAGAAAAATGAAAGGAGTTGTTAAAAATAGAATAAAATGTGAACTGTGTTTAATATTGTGTAGTAGGATCAGTGACAATTTCTGCTTTTTCTTGTTTATCTTTTCATGCCATCTTAAAATTTTCTACAAGGAGACTATAGTATCTTTATGATAAAGAGCCAGGCTACTTAAAAAACATTGTGCCATAAAAATGTAGATTTTCTTAAAAATTTGTCTCCTCCTCCTCTGTCTTTCTCCCTCCCTCCTCCTCCTTCGCCTTCTTCATAACAAAAATTATATAACCCAGCATATTTTCTTTTTTGCACTGGTTCACTAAGGGTAATGATCTTACGTTTCAGGATTATCTTATTTCTTCCTCTTTCTCATGGCCCTGATATGCCATCTCTAACTCACGCACATATAAAACACACACCATACGTGTGTACACCTCTGGGTCATTTATTGAAGCACATCTTCAAGTCCTTTCTGGAAACAGAGGAGCAGAAAGCCAGTACAGGCAGGTCTAAGGGCTGTCCAGTTCCACCCCTGCCCTGGCAACCTGCACCTCCGAGCTGCACATGTGCTCCGGGTACTGAGAACTTCCTGAGCCTCCCGTGGCCACTCTGGGTGCTGGCCGACGCATGTCGCCCTGGGCAGCAGCTCCCAGCCACTTCCTCACTGGATGGCCTGTTGCTCCCCGTTCAACCACGCTCCTGCCCACAGCAGCGCCCCTCTCCCACCACAAAGTGCCCTTGGAGTCCCATCATGGATATCATGTCTATCACTAACAGTCGGCAAGGACGGCCCCTCTGGTGCTGCCATTATTTCCTCATTTGTCAAATGGGGAAAGAGCAACTTGTCTTCATTCTCCCCCCAAACACAATCTGCCAGACTCACGGGGCCGTGATTGACACAGGTTATTTCAGCTTCTTGGAGAAAGGTATTCCGCAGTTATGGCATACTAAAATTGGTTTTCCAAGGTCCCCTAAGGGCTCTGGCTCAGTAACATGGAGGGTTCCATCAGTGAGCACTTTCTGCCATTAGCAACTACCAGGGGTCTATGACTTTCCAGCTGGGTGCTTGTTTTTAACATCAAAATGCTGCCCCTTATTTTATCCACAGAAACCCTTTAACTACCTTGTAAGGTTGTATTTATCAAAATATGGTCTATGGACCACCTACATAAGAAGGGCACAGAGCAGTTGTTAAAATGCAGGTTCCTAGGCCGCAGGCCTGACTTCCTGACTCTGACTCTCTGGGAATGGGGCCTGGAAATCTTCATTCTGGCTTCTCTGTAGATGATGGTCTTCACTTGTTCAGAGCCTCTACTTTGCAGCCTCGCTCACCTTCCATGCCCAGGGGTGTCCCTGAACTACATAGCTTATCTTGATGTCTTCTCTCTAAGCCTTTCTGAGCTTTGCACCTTGTTATGCACAGGTTAGAATCTGATTCCATTTACTTCTCCAACATTACGTTATGTGGTACGTTTCCCTCCAACATTATGATCTCAGAATAATCAAGGTCTACATCTCTTGTGCATAGTAAATGTCCAAATCCCTCTTTTCAGTTTCTCTGGGACAAAAAATGAACAAAACTCTGACTTTTGAGAAAACTCAAATGTCTTTGCTGCACGTTTAGTACATTCATGTCACTGACATGTTTGTGGAGAGCATGGAGCCACTGCTTCGAAACTATGAAAATCAATCCCAAGAGTTGATGAGAACAAAGACATAAGAAACAGCAAATGGGTAGAAAGTAGATTAAAATGAAAGGAAGTGCTAACTGGGCCACTATGAGAAAACTTGACTTTGCTCAAGGAGGAAGAACACAATTTGGTTTCCAGTATAATCACTCAAATTAGTTTTATTAGAGAACAAATAGAGGCCGGGCACGGTGGCTCACACCTGTATCCCAGCACTTTGGGAGGCTGAAGCAGGCAGATCACCTGAGGTCAGGAGTTTGAGACCAGCCTGGCCAACATGGAGAAACTACGTCTACTAAAAATACAAAATCTGCCGAGGGTGGTGGTGGGCACCTGTAATCCCAGCTACTCAGGAGGCGGAGGAAGGAGAATTGCTTGAACCCAGGAGGCGGAGGTTGCAGTGAGCCGAGATTGTGCCATTGCACTTCAGCCTGGGCAACAAGAGTGAAACTCCATCTCAAAAAAAAAAAAAAAAAAAAAAAAAAAGAAATAGAAATACATCCTGGAATGTAATAGTCTCCTGCCCAAGAGTGGGTTTAGCTTTTTCCTGGAAAACTAACGTTTTCAGGGAACGAAAAGAACATTGCCATCAGATAAAGTTTCTATTCAATAAGCAAACGTACCAAGTCATCAGTATGGATTTACATGTAGCCAGAGGCTTGGAGAAATAATCAAAAATCAGTATGAAGGTATTAGATAGGCTAAAATTATTTCTTCAGAATCAATTGTCTAGCCAAGTCTGTAATCAGACTTCTGACTAGCTAAGTAATACAAGGACAGTCTGCACTGGTTTCAAAAAGAAAAGAAAAGAAAAAAAATTTATGCTTAGAAATTACCAGTTTCAGCAAAAGCTGAACCTGTTCACAATGCTAATAAAAGTTTCATTAAGATTAAGGTTAAGCTGCTCTATCTCTGCCATGTGACCACGTGCATTTGTGCTTTTTTTCCACACCTCAGTGGAAGTGTCTGCCTTGCTTCCCCACCCACGTGGCCAAAGAGACCTGTGCATACATCTCGCTTAGCCTTTTGTCGGTTATAAATTGTACCTACAGACTTCAGCCTCTCATCTAACTCATAAGCTTCTCAGCAACAGGAACCATGTCTCACAAGACTCTGCATCCTCAATTCCTCCCAAGAACCTGGGAAGTAGCTGAAGCATCGTTAATGTCTGAGTATTTCTGAAAGCTCATCTGTATTTACAGTCAATGCCATCAGACTCCATTTTGCAATATCATACTCGATCCCCAAGTTGTTCAAGATTGCGGGATTACTGGGCCACCTCATGTGCCTGAACATGGTCTTCCTGGACCCCTACTTGAAATGACCCGGGGAATCTGTCTTCCCCTCCTTGTAACTGCTCAGCTTTCCATGGCACCTTTCACCACTAGAGGTGCCCAGACTGTGAAGTCAAGTCCTGGGGCTCTGCTTTGCAAGCTGTGGCTCTCACAGACCCTAGATTTCAGCACCAAAATATATTATTCTCGACTCTACAGGGGACATGGGAGCCATGTGCCTCTGATGACTAATGCACCCTGCAGATGTGGCTGCTGAGTCACATGATTTTATCGTGACCCAAGGGGACAGTGTCTTTTTGCCTTCAGGCATATTTATTGCCAGAGACAAGAAGTGTGGTCAGATGAGGACACAGAGCTATGATGAGCCTGGGGCTCCTCTTTTAGTCACAGTGGGGACCAATATGACAGGGGAAGGGCAAGGCACAGTGGGCTCAGGTGGCCCTGGGTCAGGGCTGTCTGCCGTTGATTTCCAGCCTTGTTACTTAGTGACATGGTGAAATGGCCCCAATGCCTGAATCTTACATTTCTCATCTCTAAAATAAATAAAACAGCCAACTATCAGACTTGAGTGACAATTAAATTATACAATGTATGTAAGTCATCACGATGCCTCATACACCCAAGTAATGTTTGAACAGAGAAATGAGAAAAAGGCCTTCGTTGTCCATCTTGACCTCTCCTCTGAATCTGTTGTAATAATTATGATGATGATGATAATGATAATAACCATGATTTACCAGGCTCGCCATGTGCCAGGCTCTATCCTAAATGCTGTGCATGGTTTGGTCCATTTGCTCCTCAAAACAGCCATGTGAGGTAATATCAGCACTGTCCACATCTTCAAGATGAGGAAACTGAGGCACAGAGAGGAGTCACACTGCTATAGAAGGTGGAGCTAGGACTCAATCCCAGCTGTGCTCTTAATCATTACTCTTCACTGTTTATACCCATCTAGGAACAGGGAAATATATCATACATATATATAAAACATAAAGAGCTCACATTTACTGAGTGTTCATAATGTTTCAGCCATCATGTAAAATATGCTTGATGCTTCTTGACATATTATGCTGTTTAATGTTCAGATAAGTCCTTTGACCTAGACGTCACAATTCACCTGTTTAATCCTGGGGACACTGAGGTAGGATTTGAAGCCCAGCAGTCTAACACCAAAGCTCATGGGCTTAAACAATCCACCACGCTGTTCTCATTTCAAACAGACAATCACACATTTGCAGCCAGCAACCTTAGTTGTCATGGCCAAATAGCTTTTGTACATTGTTTCAAATACTGTTACCCGAGGAGCCATGGGTGAAAGGGGAGTGACAGCCACCAGCTGCTGGGGCTCCCTCACCTCCAGGGTCCCTGACACACACACGGCACTGGCACAGGTTGAGGCATTGTGCAGGCCAGCACGCTGTAGGCTGAGCTCTCGGGCAGCGGGGGATGTCCCTTCCCCTCAGGGGTGACAGGCCTGGGCCATGCAGGGTGTAAGTGGATGGTCAATCCTTTCCAGTATGTGCCTCAGCCTCCCTCTCATGCAGTCGATGCCCAGCTAATAAGACTGGTCTTTGGTCAACCGTGGTCCCATTGTTGACCACAAGGGAGTCAGCAGAGGAGGCCTGGGTATCTTTTTTTTTTTTTTTTTGAGTCGGAGTCTCGCTCTGTCACCCAGGCTGGAGTGCAGTGGCGTGATCTCGGCTCACTGCAATCTCCACCTCCCGGGTTCAAGCAATTCTCTGCCTCAACCTCCCAAGTAGCTGGGATTACAGGCTACCACCACCACGCTGGCTAATTTTTGTATTCTTAGTAAAGACAGGGTTTCACCATGTTGGCTGGGCTGGTCTTGAACTCCTGACCTTGTGATCCACCCGCCTCGGCCTCCCAAAGTGCTGGGATTTCACGCCTGTGCGTGAGCCACCGCGCCCAGCTGGGTATCTTTTGATAACTGTCCTTATTTTCATAGGATTTGACCTGAAGAGCAGTTTTTTCCTCCTCTCTTTCCTTGCTGTCACCAGACACTACATTAAAATTTTGTTTACCAACAGCTCTCAGAAGTGGTTCTTCTCCTTCGTAATGAGGTTCAGTTTTAGTCGGAGGGAACTGTGATGAAGTGGGTCTGGAAAGGGGCCTCTCCCTTCTGGGCAGCCAGTGCTCCCTTTACTTGGCTGACGACTCTGAAATTGGAGGAGAGGGTATGTGTGCACCCCAGTCAGATGTATATCAATGCCATTCAGATTCAGAAGCAAATTCTGCACATTGGCTCATGGTGCCTGTGATCAGAAGGGAAGTCCCTGGCTTTCAACACTCTGCCTCTGTGTCAGGGTCTAGACATGAGTGAAGAGGCTAGCCACATACAGAAAGATAAAAACAAAACAATTCTTCTCATTCAGTGCCATTGAATAAGCCCAGCTAAAGAGTATCCTGCAAGTTTAGGAATTGAACACAGTCTAAAATCCTTATTAGCTTGCTAGGACTGCCATAACAAAGAACCACATAAACAGTGGTTTAAGCAATAGAAATGTATGCTCTCACACTGCTGGAGGCTGGAAGGCTGAGATCCAGGTGTCTGCAGCATTGGTCTCTTCTGAGGCCTCTCTCCTTAGCCTGCAGATGGCCGTCTTCTCTCTGTCTCTTCATATAGTCTTCCCTTGATGTCTCTGTCCCTAAATTTTCTCTTCTTATTAAGACACAAGGCCTATTGGATTGGGGCCCACCCTAATGACCTCATTTTAATTTAACTGCCTCTTTAAAGGCCCTGTCTTCAAATATAGCCATGTTCGGAGATACTAGGGGTTAGGACTTCAGCAAGTGAATTTGGGAGGTGGGACACATTTCAGCCTATCAAACTCCACCCCCTGCCCCCTAAATTCATGTCCTTTTCCTCATGCAAGATACATTCACCTCATTCAAAAGCCCTCAAATCTTAACCCAGTCTGGCATCAACTCTAAGCCCAAAATCTCATGTAATATTATCTGCATCAGGCACAGGTGAGACTCGAGGTCTGATCCATCCTCAGGCTGTGGGTCTTGCCGTTGTTTGGATCACAGACCCTTGAAGGGGGTGGCTTCTTCTGAAGAACTCACTGAGCATTCCCATCACTGTTCCCTTTCCCAAGACCCCCAGAAGGTGGCCGGGTGCTAACTCTGATGCCCATCCAGCAGACAGGAGGAGACACAATTAGTGGTGCACCAGTCCCAGGTGTCACCATAAGGCTGGGTCAGGCTGTGGCAGAGGCCACCAGTGCTTGCCCATCATCTCCTTTCCTCCTTTTATTTTCAAACAGGACCCTTGCATTGCTGAGAGGTAGCAAACTGTCCCACTAGAAGTATTTTTCCAAGCCTCCCTTAGACAGAGGGCATCCGATGAGGCAGGAGCAGAAGTCATTGGTCAGGGCTCCCAGGAAGCTCTGGAAGGGAGCCTTACTCAGAGAGGAGAGAGAATCCTTCCCCGTTCCCCAGCCATTTCTCCTGCCTGGAGGGAAGGTGTGATGACCAGATCTCAGAATCCAGGATCCTCGATGGTGGAGCAGACAGACAAGAGGGGCCTGCATCTCACAGGATCTCATGGCACCACCCTACTAGCCTTGGCTTGCATAGTTATGGAACTCACGTGAAGTGAGAGAAAAACAGAGACTTATCTTTTCATACGATTACTATTTCAGGTCTTTCTTAGCAGTCATTCGAACGAGCCATGCCTTCCAACACTAGGCCCAATGCCCTGTGCTGCAGTCTACATTCCAGACTTAATTACTTGTGACTTTTATGTGACAGTTTTTCTTTGAAGAAGCAGGGGAGCTACACAGAGAGATTTCAAACAGCTAATCTTCCTCTCACTGCCCAACAGAGGTGCAGGAACACCAGGAGAACAGACAGGAGGTGGCCACACTAAGGCAGGAACGGCACCAGAGAGAAGAAAGGAAAGAAGAAGGGCAAAGGATGGGAGGCGCTAAGATGAGGAGGCACCGCAGATGGCAGCCCCCAGAGCTGCACCTCCTGATGATCACACCATGTCAGCTCTCCACCGACAGTGCCCATCATGACCGCACACGCGGCCACTGCACAGAACTCTCTGCCCATTGAAAATCAGCCATTCCTATAGCCCCTTTAGATCCTCTGGTCTTCGTGGAAGGGGAAACATCTCAGGAGAAATAGATCAAAATCGGCATGGAGGAGACTTCAGACGTCTGAAAACTGAAGATGAGAATTGCAAAAAAGGAGGAAAAATTAGGCAACATTTTGTAAACTTTGCTTGGCTGAAATGTGTATACTCTATGTTATGGGTTGAATTGTGTCCCCCCCCCCAAAATATGTCAAAATTCTAACTCCTAGTACCTCATAATGGGATCTTCTTTAGAAATGGGGTCTTTGAAATCGTGTCCTTTGCAACAACACAGATGCAGCTAGAGGCCAATTAATGCAAATTAATGCAGGAACAGAAAACCAAATACTGCATGTTCTCACTTATAAGTGGGAGGTAAACATTAAGTATACATGATCATAAAGACAGGAATAATAGAAATTAGGGATTACTAGAAGAGGGAGAGTGGGAGGGGGATGAGGGTTGAAAAACTACCTATTGGCTGGGTGCAGTGGCTCATGCCTATAATACCAGCACTTTGGGAGGACGAGATGGGTGGATCACTTGAGGTAAGGAGTTCAAGACCAGCCTGGCCAAGATGGTGAAACCCCGTGTTTACTAAAAATACAAAAGTTAGCAGGGTGTGGTGGTGTGCACCTGTAATCCTAGCTACTTGGGAGGCCGAGGCAGAATCACTTGAACCCAGGAGACAGAGGTTGCAGTGAGCCAAGATTATGCCACCACACTCCAGCATGGGTGACAGAGTGAAACTGTCTCAAAAACAAAAGAAAAAGAAAAAGAAAAAGAAAAAGAAAAACTACCTATTTAGTACTATGCTCACATTTGTATACCAAACTTCAGTGACACACAATTTACCCATGTAACAAACTTGCACATATGCTTTCTGAATCTAAAATAAAAGTTGGAAAAAAAAAGAAATAGGGTCATTTCAGATGTCATTAGTTAAGATAAGGTCATACCGGAGTCAAAAGGACCCCTAATCCAAAATGATTTGTGTCCTTATAAGAAGTCAGCCATGTGAAGACTCAGACACTCAGGCAGAATGCACTCAGGGAGATATGAAGATGGAGGCAGAGATTGGAGTGATGGATCCACAAGCTAAGAAATGCCATTGACTGCTGGCAACCCCCAGAAACTAGGAGAGAGGGAGAGAGGCATGCGACAGATTCTCCCTCACAGCTCTTAGAAGGAACCCACTGTGCAGATCCCTCCATCTGGGACTTCTAGCCTCCAAATACATGAGACAACACGGTTTATTATTTTCAGCCATCCAGTTTGTGGTACTTGGTTTATGGCAGTCCTGGGGAAACAATTCACCGCATGTTCCTAAAACTTTCCATTCAGTGGTAAAATTGCAGTTTCAGTTTGGAGCCATGGGTTGTTTTTTCTGTTTCTCCTTTTTAAGTCAAAAACCAAGATTTATAATGAAAACACTAAATAACTTCGTTTTTGTTTTCAATAGCAATTAAACCTGTCTTAGGCCTCAGAATAAATACTTGCCTTTCTATACTCCGGAGTGGAAAAATTTGTTTAGACATGGGGCTGTTGTTTCTCAGACTAAATTAAATCTACTTTTAAAAGATTATTTAAATGTGAAGTCATCCTGCATGTAGTTTCTAGAGGAATATTTCTTCTTACTGGGTTCCACATTGGTCTCAACTCATAAAATGATAATGGACTGTTTATCATAAACATGATCAGTAAAACATGGTTACCATGTTAAATAGAAGGTGGCAATGCAGATACTGACATTCAAAGTCAAATTTATTTTACATTTCCTTCTTATATAAAATACTGAAGAACAGGTACTATGAGATCCTCAATTGTTTATATTCATCATAGTTCATCGGCCAGATAATCTAGCTAAAAATTAATTCTTATCTAATAAGGTAAAGTTAAAACTACATATAGATGCCTAGAATCCTTACTAATAATCTTGGCTTTTCTTTTTTAAAGCTCTTACAGTGGAATGATGTTCCTAAAAGAAAACTTCAAACACATGTTTGGGGTGGGGGGGGCTTGCATTTTTCATTGAAATGCGTCTATGATAGGACTGCAGATAAAAATACAGCATGCCCAATAAAATGTGAATTTCAGATTAACAATGAATTTTGGTTTTAGGATAAGTATGTCCCAAGCAATATTTGACATAGAATTATACTGAGAAATTATTTTTTGTTGATCTGAAATTAAAATATAATTTAGTGCCCTGTATTTCTATTTGCTCAGTCTGGCAACCCTACTCAAAAAGTATAGGTAGAAAGTTGACTCATGACCCTGTAGAAGTTCCACAGATGCAAAGGACCTTTTTGATGCAGAAAAAGACAATACCAGTAATATCTCACACAGGGCTGGAAGTTGGTTATACTTGTTCGTTCAGGGCCAGCACTGATGCTTTGCCTCCAAAGAAAATAAAGGAACTGAAGCACAGTCATGAATTTCCTTTACTTTTCAATTAGACTCCTAGAACCACCCCCATAAATCTGTATTTGATCCTTTGCAGAATTAGCTTGTGAGAGAAGGAAGGCTTTCTATGATTTAGAAAATTCTAAAGCTGTTCTTTAAATGAATGAGTTCTAGTTTTCTGCTGTAAGTGCCAGAGGTTGCTTTCCTAATGTTATTATTTTTTTAATAGGATCTTTATAAATTCTTGGAGTTGGCAATTTAGCTGGCTAGGGAGCAAGAGTTGGTGGGTATCTCCCATCCAGATTAGTTCTGATTGGGCTTTCCCCATCCAGATTAGGTCTGATTAGGGTGTCCCCATCCAGATGAAATCTGATTGGCCATTTGCATCCAGGTTGGGTCTGACTGGGGTGTTCCTGTCCAGATTGGGTCTGATTGGGGTGTACTCATCCAGATGGGGCCTCACTGGGGGTGTCTCCATCCAGATTAGGTCTGATTTAAGTATTCCCATTGAGATTAAGTCTGATTAGGGTATCCCTGTCCTGATTAGGTCTGATTAGGGTAACCCCATTCATATTAGCCCAGACCCGTCACCTCTTATTGAAAATCTTTCCTACCATTTCTTATCTCTTTTTTCTTTACCACTAGTCTTTTCTTCACTTTTGCTATCTTGGTACTTTTTCTTCCCAAATGTAAGCTTTTTCTGCTGGCTGCTAACAACCTCTGTTGCCTATAAATAACTTACTGGAAGACCATTTCCCTCTTGTGGGTGGAGGCAGGCTGGGGTTTGGCCTAAGGGCTGGTCTTGGCCACTCTCTATCTTGACTCTGGGTCATCTCTCCTGCCCACAGCCAAGCCCCAGACCATGGAGATTTCACCTCACAGACCCATAAGTCACTTAGAGAACTGCTGCCCATGAAAATATCCAACCTAGCCAAAGCCACTGCTTTTATCAATCCCAGGTTAAATAGATTCATAAATGTATTAGTTTGCTATGCCACATAACAAATTACCCCTACATAGAGGTTTATGACAGCACGCATTAATTATTTCACAGTTTTGAGGTATTAGGAATCTGGACACAACTTTACTGGGTCTTCTGCTCAGGGTCTTACAGAGCTATAATCAAGGTATTGACCAGGCTGTGTTCTCATCTGGAGGCTGGAGTGGGGAAGAATCCACTTCCAAGCTCACTCCAGTTATTGGCAGCATTTATTTCTTTGAGGTTGTGAGAATGAGGCCCTTGGCTTCTTTCTGATGTTGGGAGGCTGTCCTTAGCTCCTAGAGGCTGCCTGTTAACCCATGCCACATAGCTTCCTCAAAATGCCTGCTTACTTCATCCAGCCAGCAAGGAGAGTCTCTCATGTTGGCAACCAAAACAAAACCTTACATAATAGAACCATGGGAACAATGGCCCACTCTTTTTGCTGTATTCTATTGGTTAAAAGCAATCACAGGTCCTGCCCATACTCAAGGGGAAGGAATTAGACAAAGAGGTGAGCACCAGGAGATAGGGATAAAAAGCTCAGCCCACAAGCTGTAAGCCTGGGGTAGCTATTTAAACATTTTCATGCAGATTCTAAGTGCAAGTAACGGTACCAAAGAATATGTGTATATCTTTGGTCCCTTCCTTCTTTGAGTCAAATTTTTGAAGAAAAACCATTTAATGTCCCTCTAAAAAAACTTCAACCCTTAGAGAATTGCTTTAGTTGTACATTTTAGGAAGGACCACAGGCCCAGAGTCTGAAATAGGAATTTTAAAAGGACCCAGGGTATAAACAAAGGCTTAGAAGACCTAATCCTGTATTTCTTTCTCCAGGCCCCTAATGTTCTGAGTCCAATTGCAATGACAACTTCATGACACTGGCCATGGTCAGGGATTGGGAAAAACATCACTTATAAGAATCTTGGTGGTAGATCAATTTCCTTTCACTTTATGCAAGAGGTTAGTGTGCACTAGTTTCCTCTGATGTTAGTGTGGTCCCCTGAATTCTCAATCACAGCAGTTGGTAACATGTCCTCAAGAGGGGAAATGGCCAGGCAGACAATGATAACACCCAGGATGGCACAGCCCTCAAAGGAACTCATCAGCATGGCATAGGTGCTACCATCAGAACTCATATTGCATTGCATTTCTCTCTGTTGCACATCTCTCTGCTGTCACTCCTTTGTCCCTCTGTCTGTAGCTCATCCACTAACAACTGACTTCTCCCATTGTTTAGCTCTTAGCTTGAATGTTGGCTCCTCGCATGCCTTCGCGACACATGAACAGTCTTAACACCCTGATTCGCCTCCTTTACAGCATGTACTGGATTCTTGAAGCCATCTTGCTCCATATTTAACTTCTTGTTTGTTGATCTCATTCTTCTATAAACACCACATCTGCCTCCCTCATGGTGAGGTCCTCCATGCTGTGAAGGTGCCTGGCATTGGGAAAGCTCCAGTTGAGTATCTGTAGGTGAAGGAATAAGCAGAGTGGAGCTGAGGGTGCACTCTGAAACCTTCATCCAGCCCCAGGCCACTTCAGAAGAGACTGTGGGTGGCAGGTTCTACGTATGGCTGTGTGCATTTTGAGCACGCCTCACATCTACCCCTCTTGGCACTAACTAGCCGTCTACTCCTTTGTGAGCTCAGAATCAGGATTTTCACTCTTCCACACCTGGGAAGAATTCAGAGTGGTGCAAGTGTGGACCCAAAGCAAGTCACTGAGCTCACAGGCTGGAGCCCTGGCCTGCCAGACGTAAAGTGAGGCAACTCCTCAGAGTATTAGGAGGTCCCAATGACAAGGACCTTCCAGAGGCACTTTGAAAAGTTTGAACTGCCAGGTTTATATAGAGAGTAACTTGAGTTTCTGCTAAACTCTTTAGAAATGATGATAAGTCTTTCAACCTGCTATGGAGAAGCTGAGATCTGGGGTATGGGCCCCCCAGGTGCATCAGCCAACCTGATCCCAGAAAAAAACTAGGCTCCAGAACCCAGAGTGACTCCAGCTGAGAAGAGCCAACTATAAGTGCAAATGTGGGGCAATAATTGTGTGATAGTGAATGACCTCCTTATGGCTGTGCAATGAGATGCTCTGACACTGCTCTAGATTAGTCAGCAGTGTAAGATGAAACATGACCTTCACCTCCCCCACATCTGAGAGGCTGAAGAGCATGCAGGCTTCTGTGTTTGCCTGTGGAACTCTGCCCTCACCCCTGGCACCTGCCTCTTACGGAACTGACCTGCGCCAAACACTAAAGAAAGCTATGACCTGCCCTGGCCGGGCACGGTGGCTCATGCCTGTAATCCCAGCACTTTGGGAGGCCGAGGTGGGCAGATCACGAGATCAGGAGATCGAGACCATCCTGGCTAACATGGTGAAACCCCATCTCTACTAAAAATACAAAAAAATTAGCTGGGCGTGGTGGCGGGTTCCTGTAGTACCAGCTACTTGGGAGGCTGAGGCAGAAGAATGGCGTGAACCTGGGAGGCGGAGCTTGCAGTGAGCCGAGATTGCACCACTGCACTCCAGTCTGGGCGACAGAGCGAGACTCCATCTCAAAAAAAGAAAAAAAAAAAAGAAAGAAAGAAAAAAGAAAGCTATGACCTGCCCCAAAGCCTCTCCACAATGGGGAGAAATAGACTGGAGAAATGGGATTCAGATATGTGAAAGGCAGAAGTACCCACCCCCAACATTGACAGTGACCTATCACTTAAAATGTACAAAACGAAGCCTCAATGCTACCAGTGAAAGGCTGCAAGAGCAAAAGAAAAGATAGCTACCGAGGGCTGGAATGAGTCACAGGGCTAATGCTTGTCTCTGTACTCCAGCAGGGCTCTGCAGCTGAGGGTCTGGGACACATCCCCATCATGGTTGAAAGAGATTGCAGCTATGCACAAAATTCACTGTTGCTCCTCCAAAATGCTAAGCCATTTTGCTATGCAAGTCATGGCTTTCTTCATTACAAGGTCCGTGCAAAGAGTGAGGATTAATTCATCACTGCCATGCCAAAAAATGCAATATTCCCATTACAGTCCCATCCTAGTCACAAGGCTCAACTATGAAAAGGAATGCACTGTAGAGGTTTTGAGAATATCTTGAAAATGTCATGTTTAGATTCTGCCTGAGATGTTAAACACTATATGCTCAATTAGGAATTATTATCAGTACCGTCTCCTTTAGTAATTAAGAAGTGTGTCACCTGTGAAACGTTGAATGAAGCAACTCCTCAAGGTACAAAACAAAGGAGAAAAATGCACAGGATAAAAATACGAACACACTGACTTTAACTTTCTGTAGACATTACCAAAGACCTTGATTCATTTTATTATGAACTCTGCATATAAGCCCCTCACAAAGAGCAAGATTCCATTGGACTTAATTTTGCATGCCTGGCAATTAGTGTAAGGCACATTGGAATTCAATAAATGTTAAATGTGTGCACGGAGATTCATGCACACTGATGCTTATCCCAATGCTACTTATAATGAAGATGAACTGTAAATAAAACACACTAAATTTCCAGCAATAAGAACTTGGACAAGCATAGTTTGATAAGTATATACATTGCAACTATTTAAAATCAGATCACATTCTTGAAGAATACAGATAAATAGAAACTGCTCATAATATTATGTCAAAGTTAAGCAAACATACAAATGCATATTATATAAATGGTAGGTCTTTAATAGAAAAATATCTGTAAGCACATGCACCACAATAAAATGTTACCAATAGTTTTTGGTGTGGTGGAAATATGTATGGTTTTAATTTTTGATCTATACACTTCTGTATTTAATCAAGTTGCTACAATGATCATATCTACTCTTAGAATGAATGAATGAATGAACAAATGAATGACCCCATGATAATTCAAGAATGATCGCCCCATGATCTTGCAGCCTCATCCCTATGCCTTTGGATTAAAACACGCCAGAAGTTCTTCTGTCCCAGTAACCACTCACTTCATTGCCACGTTGCCCACTGTTCTGGGTTAAGATGCTGTCTCCATCCAGTTAAAATGCACCTTATTTTCATGAAATGCACCTATTTTCCATTATTATAATGAGCTAGAGAGCTACGACCTGACAGACAGCAGATCTCTAAAAAAGCTGAAATGAGAGGCCAGGCGCTGTGGCTCACGCCTATAATCCTAGCACTTTGGGAGGCCAAAGCAAGTGGATCATCTGAGGCCAGGAGTTCAAGACTAGCCTGGCCAACATGGTGAAACCCCATCTCTACCAAAAACACAAAATTAGCCAGGTGTGGTGGTGTGCGCCTGTTATCCCAGCTACCTGGGTGGCTGAGGTGGGAAAATCGCTGGAACCCAGGAGGCAGAGGCTGCAGTGAGCCGAGATCACGCCATAGCCCTCCAGCCTGGAGGACAAAGCGAGACTTTGTCTCAAGAAAAAAAAAAAAAAAAGAGAGGAAAAAAAAAAAGAAAGCTGAAATGAGGACACGTCAGTCGGGATTTGGGAGGTGGAAACGCAAGTGTTCTGAAAGATCTCTCAAGCAGCTCTTCTCAGTAGTTCTGGGTGGGGCCCAAGATCTTGCCTTTCTAACAAGCCCCCAGGTGATTAATAAGCTGCCAGTCTGCCCACCGCACACTGGGTAGCAAGGCACAGAGAGTGCCTTCACAGGTTTTTTCAAAATCCCCACCTGTTCGAGCATTCAGCGGATACTCGTAGGTTATATCTATATTCTTTCTGGAGTTTCATCCATCGCTAAGGCAAAATCAGGCACCACTGCAAATATTTTGTTGCTTTTTGAAGAAGTATGTGATCCAACATCCTTCTCTCATAAACAACCTTCTGGGGAGCTCAGGGATTTATAGGCAGTGTGAGGAACTGCACCACTAGCAAGACATAGCACCCTCCTGGGGAAGCATGCACTCATCTCCATGAGGTTGTTTTGATCTGGGCTCTTGGCATGGTGGTGCAGGTGTGTGGAGCCACCGAGAGACACAGGCTCACTCTAATAACCTGCCTTTGCACAGAATGCAGCTGATGCTCTCAGCTAATGGAGAAAATGAGTTATGCAAGGTCAAGGTCGAAAGAACTTACAGCTTGTTAGGTACCCCATTTCAGACATGCCTCATTCACTGGTCCTTCCAAGGGGGAATGCTGGCAGTGGGGTTCCATTCTGGCCATTCTCCTAAACCCATCTTCTGTGATGAAACAGAGTTGACTAGGACCCAGTGGTGGCATTTATAATTGGGAAATCTGCCAGGGGAATATGAGAAATGATCTAACTTAAAAAGTTATGCTAATAACTAGCATTACTCAACAGCTGCATGGGCTGGGATGGGACAAAATGAGCTCCTTTCACAGTGGGCATCCAAGTCAAAGCCAGAGAGCCATCTGCCAGGCGAACAGAGAAAGGATTTCTGCCCAGTGAGACACAGAGCCAGATGATCTTGAAGGTCCTTTCCAACTCTAAATTCTGTGTTTTAAACTGACACGGGGTTACCTGCTTGGTGGGAAAAGTGGCCGCTTGTATTGGAGGATAACGGAGAAAAAGACATGTTTAATGTCCTCACCTAAAGGCGAGTGAGGAGCTTCCTCACTGTGTCTTCTCCTGGCAAAGTGACAGGTGAGGGGAAACGAGGGACTTGCTTCCCCAGGAAGGCAGAAATGAGGGTACAGCTGCTCATTTAGGTGAAGGAAGGAGAACGGATGGCATGTTAACAGCAGAGCTCTGCACACCAATTGGCATATTGCGCAAAGACAAAAACATGCAGTTTATATGAGAATGGAACCCACACCTAGACAGACAGGTCGGGATCTAGATTGCAACAATCTTGCTCAGTTCCTAGCTTCAGAGATGAGTCTGCAGGAGGCAGGAAGATAGAAAGGCACATGTGCTGAAGAGGAAACACACTGTGGCAAGTATGTCTAGGTCCTGTCCCCAACAAAACACTGCACAAGGTGGGTGAGGATGTGGAAAGCATCCTGAAAGAGAAGTTGGGCACTCCAGGTCTCAATGTCCAGGTCACACCTGACTGATCACAGTCAGGATATCTGGGGGTGGATCCAGACATTGAGATTTTTGAGACTCCAAAGTGGTTTCAAGGTACAGTCCCAGGTTGAGAAGCGTGGATCTAATCCCCACTCTGCCACCAACAAAGAAATCCTGGCCAAGGCACTTAACCTTCTTGGGTCCAGCTGAAACTTAGAAGATAAGAAAGATCCATGGCTGAGGTCTTCTTCAGCAATACATGTCCTATTGTTCCATGAAACTTTTAAAGCTTCTAGTTATTTCTACCCATTTAGTCTTAAAACCTGACTGACATTCATGGTACTCACAAGGATCAAACCACAGAATTCCATTAGTTTCCTGGTGTGACCTACTGTTACTGAAAAAAAATTATATCTTTCATACCTCTTTTAATATTGTTTGCTGCTAACCCTCCCTATGCCTGCTACCCCATGAAATGCTTTTCCCCTGGGCTTGGAGGAAATGAAAAGGCCATTGGGGAGAGATTTCCATTATGTGTACTTACTGCTTTTTTCTTTTCTGTAGCAGCTGCAGTTAAGGGCAAAAAGTCGTTAAGTATTTTGAAATATCTGACTGTCAGATTATTCATTGCTGGAACTGCAGATAAGACTAAGCTGCCTCCTTTAAAAAAAAAAACACCTAAATCAGTGATAAGTAACTTTAATGCATGACTACTGTACGCTACTTTATACGTGAGAATAAATTAGGTGATTAGGAAAAAGAGACTAAGCTTTAGAGTTACTCAAACACACAAAGGTCAATAGAAATTATTCCATAAGCGATTAAAATATGTATTACTTTACAATGGCCTCTAGCGATGAAAGGGAAATGGACCCTTAACCTTTCTTCTTCAGGAACCAAGGGCTTTTTCATTATCTTTGGTGTTTTCTGAGGCATCTGATCATACACACAGTTCCAAAAGAAAAACATGATATAAACAATTGTTGGAAATGTTTTTCTATTTTCTATCATGGAAAAAAGGGTAACATTTGGGGCAGCTGCTCATGCGTTATTTTGTATTCAAAGGTCAAGTAAAACTTAAGTGAGGTCAAAAGAACTTGTTTGTCTTTTTCTTATTTCATATTATGTAACTTGGAACTAATCTTTAACTCTCTCCTCTCCAAACATCACAAGGTAATCTTGGATTTAAGTCCTGTGGTATAGCTATCCACTGGGATCTTGAAATTGAGAGACTAATAATACTTGCTCTTACATTTTGTAATTTTAAAAATACTTCCTCATGCATTATCTCTCACAACACATCCTCCCACTCTTGCCCCAAAGCTGTCCCCTCTCTTGATCAAGATTCATAAAATTTCTTAGTTGGAAAAGATATCAGATGTCACTTGGTTGAACTTGCTGGAGTGTGTTCCACAAAAATCCTTATGGTGATCACCTCAGCTGGAATAGACCTCATAGGTATAAATAAGCTCATTCATTCATTCATTGATTCAATAAATGCTTACTACTTGCCTACTATGTGTCCAGCAACACCTCTTGCTAGCCCTAAGGAAAAAGAGTGAGAAAGGCATGACCATTTGTTAGCTTCTAGTCTAGCTGGGGAAAAAGTGGCAACTAAACCAAAACCTATGTTCAGGGCACACAGAAGACAGTGATCAGACCTAGCTTGAGTTGATAAGTGCTATTCAGAGAAGGCTTAAGGGGCAGGTAGTTCATATCATCAAAAGAGTCATCATAATCAAAAAATTAGAAACATAAAATAGAAGAGAGTCCTCAGTGTGGTGAAGGCAGCAGTGGTGACATTATGTCCATGTCCTGCCTCGTCTCTAAGAGGACTGGCAGTTCTCTGTCCTTCCTTTGGAATGGTGAAGAAAGCACATGGAGAAGCTACACAAAGGGCCACAAGGAGTGAAAAGTCCTAACATTTGGAAAAGCGGTCTAGTCATCAAGTCCTAGTTAAGCCTCAGCAAAGTTGAACCCTAGACCCACTTGACCACAAACATATAAAAGGCCTCAAGAACTACCAGCAGAAGAGCTGCCCAGCTGAGCCCAGCCATCTCATAAAACCACAAGCAATAATAAAATGATTATTGTATTTTTTTTTTGAGATGGAGTTTCGCTTTTGTCGCCCTAGGTGGAGTGCAATCATGCAGTCTCGGCTCAATGCAACCTCATCCTCTTGGGTTCAAGTGATTCTCCTGCCTCAGCCTCCCAAGTAGCTGGGAGTACAGGCACCCACCACCATGCCTAACTAATTTTTGTACTTTAATTAGAGACGAGCTTTCACCGTGTTGGCCAGGCTGGTCTCGAACTCCTGACTTCAGGTGATCCACCTGCCTCGGCCTCCCAAAGTGCTGGGATTACAGGCACGAGCCACCACACACAGCCAGTTATTGTATTTATGCCACTAAATTTTGATGTAATTATGGAGCTAGAGCCAACTGAAACATTCAGAAAACATCACAGAATTTAGTAAGGCTAGAATACAGGGAATCCTGAAAGGAGTGGAATAAATGAGGCTACAAAGGTGACAGAGCCCACACCCTGATGAACTGAGTAGCGCATCAGTTAGTAGAATGAAGATGGAGTGGCATCGCTTCCTCCAGCCATTCCTCCTACCTTTGTTATGGTTCAGATTCCTTTATATTCAGCCTCCTTAAGTAGTACATTTCAGTCCAGTTCAAAAATCCAATTTCATATCTGACATAAAACAATCTCCTCCCACTCTGGAAACTAGACTGTGATCCAGGTCTTGGAATAGGGGTGAGAGCTTTTATTCTTCTCCTACCCATGTTTCTTAGGGTCCTGGACCTTCGGGGTAAGAGAGAGGATACCAGGAAAAATAAAACCGGCAAAGGCTTCTTCACTTACCTGGGAGCAGTTGTGATCCAGTCCTGGTTAGCTCCTGTGGCTAGCAGAAGAGGTCGATGCCCTCCATGTGCTAACTCCTGCATGATGCATGGTCACGGCTTGCCATTTGGCCTCTACCCCTATCCTTTTTCTGGCATTCCACCACTAGGCGGGGGCACCTGTGTGGATTCCTAGGGGGCCTTGCAAGCTTCCCCATGAATGGGAAAGGAGTTTAGGGTTCAGCTTCAGTTCTTTACCCGCCTCCGCCATTCTCACCTCCCACCAGGTTTCATCCACAGCTGCTTGAGGCTGCAGGACCCTTGCTGGCAGGCAGCCCCCTTGGAGGGGTAATGGAAATGTCTCACGCCCAGTTGCCTTCCATGGAAAAGGTACACTTCATCAGCCATTCAAAAGGCAGCTGGCAGGCTGCTCCCCTGTTGCCCTCTTTCCCTCTGCTCTGCCTCTCTTTCCAATTACTTTTCCTGCTCAGATAGGCCTAGTACCTATGCAGATGTGCACTCTACTCTTCCATAGGGGAAGAAGAAAGAACCAGGGAGAGGGGAGAAAAAGTCTCAGCATAAACATTGCCTTTCCCCCACAACCATAGCAATAGCAATGAAACTAGAAATGGTTTTATGGCCATACCCTGGCCCTTACCTTATATAAACTAGAGTGGTGAGAGACTGCAGTGGGGCCAGCTCCTTTGCCTCCTACAAATACCTGGTTAGTTGCATGTGTGTGTGTGTGTATGAAGAGGGTGCAGGAAGATCTGGCCCTAATATTTGCTGACTTTCTTTAGAATATGGACTCTGCTACCAATTCTAGAGCAATAGGAGAAGTCACACTCAACTTTTAACTTCTAAACTAACTTAATAGTTTGCAGGGCTGGGCACTGTGGCTCATGCCTGTAATCCCAGCACTTTGGGAGGGTGAGACGGGAGGATCACCTGAGGTCAGGAGTTTGAGACTAGCCTGGCCAACATGGTGAAACCCTGTCTTCACTAAACATACAAAAATTAGCCAGGCGTGGTGGCGCATGCCTATAATGCCAGCTACTCGAGAGACTGAGGCAGAAGAATAGCCTGAACCCAGGAGGTGGAAGTTGCAGTGAGCCGAGATCACGCCACTGCACTCCAGCCTGGGCAAGAGAGCGAGACACCAACTCAAAAAAAAAAAAAAAAAAAAAAAAAAAGATACCCACACCTCCTCTGCTGACTCCCTTGTGGTCAACAATGGAAACACAGTTGACCAAAGACCAGCCTGGGAGACAAGACCAAAACTCCGTCTCAAAAAAAAAAAAAAAAACAGTTCGTGAGATTTTCAAGTAGAGAAGTCACAGGAACAGATTGCATTTCGGAAGGATTACTGAGTATCAGTGTGAACGATCAGAGGCTAGGAGACCAGTTGCAAGTGTCCTGTGGTAGTGCAGGTAAGAGATGTTTTAAAACCTGAACAAAAGCAGCAAGACAGGGGGGCAGAAGGGTGACCTGAAAATAATATCACCCACTTCACACACATCATCCTCATACGTGTCCTCTGGATCCCAAGCCCACAAATGTCACAGAAATAGGAGCAACCGAAGTGTCCACCAATTAGATATGCAGGTTGTAGGAGGATGAATCAAGGTTGACTACTAGTCCCCGGCCAAGATGAGCAGAGAGCTGGTGGGGACATTCACCAGATTGGGGCATACGCTGGGGGTTGCAGGGAGGAAGAGCAGTTTCAGAGAAAAAGATAAAGGAAGTCCATTTTATTGCTGAACTACTCTAATCAATAGAAAGACCTTCTTGGTGGAATTTAAATCTTTCTTCCTACAACTCAGAAGTGTATAGCTGTCTCAGTTGAGAATCAATTCTGTTGCAAATAACAGGAAGCCAGCCAACAATGGCTGAAACAGTAAGGCTGATTTTTTTCACATAAGAAGACTGGCCTGGTGCGGTGGCTCGTGCCTGTAATCCCAGCACTTAGGGAGGCTGAGGCAGGTGGATCACCTGAGTTCAGGAGCTCAAGAGTAGCCTGGGCAACATGGTGAAACCCCATCTCCACTAAAAATACAAAAATTAGCCGGGCGTGGTGGTGTGTGCCTGTAATCCCAGCTACTCAGGAAGCCAAGGCACGAGAATCGCTGGAACCCGGGAAGCAGAGGTTGCAGTGAGCCAAGATCGCACCATTGCACTCCAGGCTGGGCAACAGAGTGAGACTCCATCTCAAAAAAGAAAAAAAATTGAAGACTGGGGATTCCTTGTCCCAGGATGGTATGGATGTCAGCAAAGACCCAGCCTTCTTCTATCTTCCTGGTTTGCTATGCTTATCAGGGAGCTTTCATCCTCAAGGCTGCAAGAAGGCTACAGTACCATGTCTGTCCTAATCTCAGCAGGGGGGAAAAGGGAAGAGCAAAAGATAAAGCCCTTTATCTTTGGGAGGCTTTGCCCTTTTATTTAGAAAGCGACTCCTATGCCAGGTACTTCTGTATATATTTCATTGTCCAAAACCACTGCATGGGTCACCCTTAGCTACAAAGGATGCTTAGGATTGAGTTGCTTGCCAGAAGAGCTTTCACATTAGAGTGACAAGGAGGAGAAGCCAGCCACAAAAGCACTCTAGTTTTCTGAGACTCCTTGTAACACCTCCTCCTTAGTATTCTCTTTCCCTGGCCTAACTCCTGCATGGTGCAGGGCATTTGGCCCCTCCCACCACACCCCCACCCCTTTCTGGCATTCCTTATTTTGTCAGAAGCTCAGTGTCTTTCTTTAAAAGAGGCTCTAGGCCGGGAGCAGTGGCTCACGCCTGTAATCCCAGCACTTTGGGAGGGCAAGGTGGGCGGATCACGAGGTCAGGAGATGGAGACCATCCTGGCTAACACGGCGAAATATCATCTCTACTAAAAATACAAAAAATTACCCAGGTGCGGTGGCACATGCCTGTAGTCCCAGCTACTCGGGAGGCCGAGGCAGGAGAATAGCTTGAACCCGGGAGGTGGAGGTTGCAGTGAGCCGAGATTGTGCCCCTGCACTCCAGCCTGGATGACAGAGCGAGACTCCGTCTCAAAAAAAAAAAAAAAAGAGGCTCTAGTTTTGGACCTCTGTTCAGATGCGGCCCATCACTGAAGAAGTGAAATGGGCCTATTACCTATCATGATTGTCAGGAAGTGCTCTTTTCAGAAATGCAGCCTGGGCCACATCTTACTGTTGCTCCCATGGTCTACACATTTCTTTTCCTTTTTGATGCTGCACCTTCCAGTACTGTTCCTGCCTCTTTGACTTACCCAGGTCTTTTTTCCCCTCCCATTCTATGTCATTGTTCCTAAAGGATCCAGCCTTAGTCACTGATTTTCTCTCTGTACATTCTACCCTGCGACACTTCATGGATGTGCGTGTATCTGTGCAGGTGACCACTTCTCTCCTAAATCTTCTTCCTGAAGAGCCAGCTGCCTGCTAAACAGATGCCATCAGCCAAGGCAGCGTGGTGCATCCATCTCCTCCACAGGGTGGCTGTGCCAACAGAGCTATGACGGAGAGTTGACAAAGATCACCGTCCTCTGGGATGTGATTTGAAGGGCACTTGCAATACCTTTACAAAGTGTCTCCCGGTCTCTCATTCTAACCTAACTGTTCAGACCCACAATCATTACTGATGTGTTGACTTTTAAGTTCACTCTCAGAGGGTAATCTCATTTATTTTATCAAAAATATCAAACCTCAGTGAATTCCCAGCTATAATTCCATAGTCCCGTTTATTATGTCTCATTTAGGCTCAAAATTTAAAACACTCTTAACTCTTTTTCCTCTATCAAATGTAATATACCTTCAAGTATTACTGATTTTTTTCATTCTTAATGTTTTTGTATCTTTTCTTTGCAGTCCTATCATTATTAGCTTATTTGAGGCTATTATTGGCCATTATTCTCACAACTCAATGTTATTTTAGGTTTCCAGCTGATCTCCCAGGCTCTAGTCTTTTCCTATTTCGAGCTCATTCTTCCCAATACAACCACAATATTAAGTCTCAAGCTCTTTTTTCACATTGTCTCACTATTCAAAGGTTTGTAATGGCTACCCATCTCTCACAGGCTAAAGATCAGAGCCCTCCATTTGGGAAGACTACTATTTTAAAGAGGGTGGAATAAAATCAATATTTTCTCCCTCATCTTTTTGGAAATCATCCCAAAGCAACAAAGAGAATTGTGGGGCGGGGAGGGGGGCGAATTCCATCTTTTGATGATACTAAGAGTTAAAATCCTCAACTCCCAAAATGAGTGGAAAGCCTACCCGTGTCAATGGTAAATGGACAGCAGTGCACATGTGAGGGAGAGGAGAGAGAAACCAGATGCCAAGGGTTACAAACAGAGTGAAGAAAGCATGGTTCTCAAAGTTGACAGGCATATCCTGAGCTGCAAAACCTAAATGTTTTGTTCACCACAGCAGGGGTGTGGTGTGTGGGAGACACTGGATGTGATTTGGTTGCAAGAAGAAAAAGAGACAGGACTCACAGACAAAACACAGGTGGGAGTCTGTGTGGAGGAAGAAGCCTATCTCTGTAGCAATGGTGTGGAAGAGACTTTGCCCTATGAAAAACCACAGTTTATCTTCAATGGATGGGGAGAAATAAAATCTAGGTACAATTAAACATAAATCCCTGGGTTATAAGGAATTTCCAGCTATATTGGAGCACAGCCCACACCCACCTCAACCCCAGCTTTCCACAAATAATTGTTCTAGGAGAAAGTCACCTGCTTCCAAGATAAGTAGTCAAAAAAGGAGGAAAGTCATGGTAAAAGCAAATGGCAGATAAAGAATACAGAAAAAATGTTCCCACAGAGCAGATGAAAGTTGTGACCATTGATCAAAGCATTTAACAAAGCATAATGAAGTAGGAACATCTCTGAAGAAACTATATCTTCAAGTTCATGAAAGAAGTAGAAGAAAAAAAAAGCACCATAAAAAGAAAACGAAATTGTAAGAACAGAAGGAAGAATAACCACTGCTGACATCATAAATGACAGAGGTTAGAAATGAAAAATCAAGCAAAATGAAAAGAAAGTATAGGAAAAGTTATTGGGATTAGAGAAAAAAATGATAGATGTGAAAGACAGGCAAAGGAGAACCAACATATATATAATTGAAATCCCAGAGGACAGAAACTCAAATAATGAACAAAGTAAATATTTTAAAATATATTTGACATAAAAGAAGTCTTGATAGCTGGGCATGGTGGTTCATGCCTATAATCTCAGCACTTTGGGAGGCCCAAGGGAGAGGATCACTTGAGCCCAGGAATCAGCCTGGGCAACATAGTGAGACCCCATCTCTCTCTCAAAACAAAAAAACAAAACAAAACACACACACACACAAAAAGAAGAAGAAGAATCATCTACATGTGGAAAGGTTACAAAATATCCCAGGAGAAACTGACACAGAAGAGTCAGCTCTGAGACATCCTAGTTAAATACTGCTCCTGCTGGTGCACCCCCATTCCTAACAGGCTATGAACTGGTCCATGGCCCAGGAGTTGGGAACCCCTGCTGTAGGCAATTATAGCACAAAAGTATTTATGCATCTAAACATATCTAAACAAAGAAAAGGTACAGAAAAAAATATGGTATAATGGATTTTTTTTTTAAAGAAAGGTACACCTGTAGAGGGCACTTACCATGAATGGAGCTTGCAGGACTAGAAGTTGCTCTGGGTGAGTCAGTGAGTGGGTGGTGGGTGAACGTGAAGGCCTAGAACATTACTGTACACTACTGGAGACTTTATAAACACTGTACACTTAGGCTACACTAACTAATCATGCTACAACAGTTATGATGTCACTAGGTGATAGAAACGTTTCAGCTTCAGTATAATCTTATGGCAGCATCATTGCATATGCAGTCCATCATGGAACAAAACATTGTTACATGGTGCATGACTCTATGTTCTTTCAAAACCCTGATTTACCATGTCCAGGCATACTTGATCCAAGAGACGTGTTATCATATATTATAGAGCATGAAGCTGGACATGAAAAGCATTTCTGGCCAATAAATTGGACCCCACTCTCCACTTCTCCTTCCTTCTCAAACTGTCCAGGGAGAAGTGTGTTGATTAGAAATCTTTCCTATTTCTTTACTTTTGGTTACTGTCATCAGAGCTTGTTACTCTAAAAGCTAGAAGGTTTGTTCAGTCAAACCTTAAAGTCAGACACTGGGGATATTGCAGGGATATTGCAGGGGGAAAAAAAACCAACAAAAGTTTCCATGTTAGTGAGGGAAGACAGAAAACAAGCAGATAAATTAATAAAAATATAGATGTCAAGGGAGTTAAAACTCTGATGAGAAAAAATAAAGCAAAGGAAAGGGATGAAGTGTGATAGGAGATGTTCTTTTAGATTTTTTTCCTAGTCTCTCTGATTTGTTTTTCTCTGCCATTTTTGGTTTGAGGTGGCACTCAACATATGGAGGGAGAAAGGGTGGAGGGATGGAGGGAGGAGGGAAAGAGGAAGGAGGTACGAAGGAAAGAAGCAGGGGAGAAGGAGGAAAGAGTGAAGGAGGGAAGGAAGGAAGGAAAAAGGAAGGAAGGAAGGGAGGAAGTGGGGAGGGAGAAAGGAAGGAAGGAAGGAAGGAAGGAAGGAAAGAAGGAAGGAAACATTTCTTTGCTGACCATTTTCTACCTTATTTTCATTTTTTTTTTTTTTTTTTTTTTTTGAGACAGAGTCTTGCTCTGTCACCCAGGCTGGAGTGCAGTGGCGTGATCTCGGCTCACTGCAAGCTCCGCCTCATGGGTCCATGTCATTCTCCTGCCTCAGCCTCCCGAGTAGCTGGGACTACAGGCACCTGCCACCACGCCAGGCTAATTTTTTGTATTTTTAGTAGAGACGGGGTTTCACCATGTTAGCCAGGATGGTTTCGATCTCCTGACCTCGTGATCCACCCACCTCAGCCTCCCAAATACCTGATTTTCTCTTTTTCCTCCAGAGAGTGTTCTCTTTGAGAACCAATCAATACAATGGAAATAGAAGGCTGTCCTTTGTGTCCAAAAGTGCTGGTGCCCACAGGTTTTCTCACCTCGTGTGCAGAGGTGTCTGAAAAAAACTGGGGACAAATAGGCTGTTCCCCACCAGGCCTGACTAGAGGCTGCCTTAACCAGCAACAAACATCTTAGCTGTTTGCTGTGCCCAGGGCATCTCTGCCCAGGGTCTGAAGTACGGCTTTTGGGTCTCTCACTTTGGCTTCTTGCTAACATTCTGCTTTGGGGCTGCCCCACCAAGAGCATTAGCTTGGGTTCCCTGATGTCTTACGTTCTCTGTGCTCATTTAATTTAGCGGTACAGCAGACGGTCTAAACATCCAAGTCTGTCAGAGCCTCACTCGGGCTGCTAGCGACACTAATTAACCTGCCCAGCGATCCTAACATGACAAGCCCCAGTGAATGCTGTAAAAGGGCTAAGGTCTCTCTGGACGGCACGCTTCTCAAGTGCTCTGTAAACAGCATGGTCCTGGGGAAATTCTCACTAGCCACTTGATCCATCCACCAGCCATGGTGATCTCCCAGCTGGAAACAGAACTGACTTTTGGTTAATTCCCTCCATCTTTGCATTTTCCCTCTTCTATAACATTGCCCCACCTGGCTCCTTGAGCAAATATACTGTTTTTCACTGGTCTTCCTCTCCCTCTAGACATTACACTCATGGAATACTATCCGTGAACATCACGATGTTTAAAGTACTTGCCTTATCTATCATCAGGCCCAGCACTCCTGGCACACCAGGAAGGATGTAGGAGCCTTGGCTAACTTGCTTCATGTGCTCAAGGACCCCACTAATATAATTCAGGTGACGTGGAGGCTGACATGAGAAAAGGGAAAGAAAATGAGGCATTCGAGGAAAAGTTAGGAGTGTGAAGAATGGCAGACATCTCTCTTCCAAGGACTGAATGTGAGATTACGGGAGAACAAGCCCAGTGATCCATGGGCTTGTTCTCCCATGGGCATGATCCTACATGATGGAATGGACAGAACTTTCAGACGAGATTATGTGTGAACTACTGATGGAAGGAGCTCTGGAATGGGAGGTTGGGGGCTCTAGTGCTGGTTCCACCACCAGCTGTGTGTCCTCATGCCAGCTCAGCAAGTTCTTCCTGGCCCCCTGTAAGGCTGTGAGGGAGAAACAGCCTCCCAGCTTAGAAAATGCTTGTGCCAGGCTTGTTTGAATTGTTGCAAGCAAGTCTATCATAGAAACGCCTTACCTCTCAGTAAACTATCGCAAGAACAAAAAACCAAACACCGCATATTCTCACTCATAGGTGGGAACTGAACAATGAGATCACATGGACATAGGAAGGGGAATATCACACTCTGGGGACTGTTGTGGGGTCGGGGGAGGGGGTAGGGATGGCATTGGGAGATATACCTAATGCTAGATGACGAGTTAGTGGGTGCAGCACACCAGCATGGCTCATGTATACATATGTAACTAACCTGCACAATGTGCACATGTACCCTAAAACTTAAAGTATAATAAAAAATTAAAAAAAGAAAAAAAAAAAAGAAACGCCTTACCTAACTTTCCACCAGTTTCCAGCCTTGTTTTTAATAATTTTTCCTAATTATCTAGCCTTGTGGTTTAACTGTTGTGGTACCCACTTGAACCCTTCGCTTGGGAAGACGCTGACCTCAATTGCAAACCACTGAGATTGACATGGAAATCCCTCCTGGGAGTCCCAGCAAGATCAAAGATGGGGCTGGAGGAAGAACAAACTTTGATAATGCCCACTAAGACTTCTCTTTTTTTGGCTCTCAGCCTTGAGGATAAATCATCTTGCTACACATTCACACATTCTCTCTCTCTCTCTCTCTCTCTCTCTCCCTCTCTCCCTCTCTCCCTCTCTCCCTCTCTCTCTCTCCCCTCCCTCTTACCGTTCCAGGGAGTATGGACACATGCCCTGTGGGATGCTTGATAAAATTCAGATCATCCTGGTTCCCACATGAGGTGCAAGCAAGTCTATCATAGAAATGCCTTACCTAATTTTCCACCTGTTTCCAGCCTCTTTTTTTTTTAAATAATTTTTCCTAATTATCTAGCCTTGTGGTTTAACTGTAGTGGTACCCATTTGAGCCCTTCACTTGGGAAGACACTGACCTCAATTACAAACCACTGAGATTGACATGGAAATCCCTCCTGGGAGTCCCAGCAGGATCAAAGATGGGGCTGGAGGAAGAACAAACTTTGATAATGCCCACTAAGACTTCTCTTTTTTTGGCTCTCAGCCTTGAGAATAAATCATCTTGCTACACGTTCACACATTCTCTCTCTCCTCTCTCTTCTCTCTCTCTCTCTCTCTCCTCCCTCTTACTGTCCCAGGGAGTATGGACACATGTCCTGTGGGATGCTTGATAAAATTCAGATCATCCTGGTTCCCATATGAGGTGCAAGCAAGTCTATCATAGAAACGCCTGTTTCCAGCCCTGTTTTTTAGATAATTTTTCCTAATTATCTAGCCTTGTGGTTTAACTGTAGTGGTACCCATTTGAGCCCTTCGCTTGAGAAGACGCTGACCTCAATGCAAAGCACTGAGACTGACATGGAAATCCCTCCTGGGAGTCCCAGCAGGATCGAAGATGGGGCTGGAGGAAGAACAAACTTTGATAATGCCCACTAAGACTTCTCTTTTTTTGGCTCTCAGCCTTAAGAATAAATCATCTTGCTACACATTCACACATTCTCTTTCTTCCTCTCTCTCTCTCTCTCTCTCCTCCCTCTTACTGTTTCAGGGAGTATGGACATATGCCCTGTGGGAGTATGGACATATGCCCTATGTGGCATAGATTTTTAGGATTATATATCAGAAATCAGAAGTTGGTGAATCTCAAGTAGCCTTGAGCCCACAGAAGTATTCTTTTTAGCCCAGTGGGTTTTTTAAACTAGCTTTTAAAAACTTGAATTAGTTGCAAATATTAAAATTTAGGAGTTTTTACCCAGAAATCCTAATTTTAAGTTTCTCTTGAAAAAGTCCAAGATCTATCCATGGTAACAGATGGCAGAAGCAGGTGACCCACTGCTCCCAAATGACCCACTTCAGTCATTTATTTTACTTGCTTATCTATCAATGACATTTGAATATTTTGCCCAAAATTTAATCCAGCTCTCCCATTTCACAGATGGTAAAATTGAGACCAGAAGGGATGAGTGACATTCCTGGGTCACACACACATTCCTAGGTGACATTCCTGTCTGCCAGGCAGTGGCAGAAATGACTAGAACACAGGTTCTCCTGCTCTGTTTCCTCAGTCATCTTCACCATTTACACATGAACTTGCACTTCTAAATGCAGTGCCCATTTCACCTCAGGTGCACGCACAGTCAGTTCAGTGGTTACCATTGTCCAACACACGTTTCTCCTCCATGAAGGGCCTCAGAGCAGTGCTTTCCAAATTCTCAACATCCACTGACCATAACAAGCATTGGCACGTACACCACTGGTCTTACATAAATCGTCTTTAAAAGTTCATCCAAAAAATTTAAATAAGAAAATTTAAATAAGAAAAAAATTTAATAAGAAAACATTATAAATGACAATAGTAATTGTTTCACAGCAATGGGATAATTTGCAACTGTTCACAAGTATATCTGGTTCCAAGACAGAGAGCTTGGATTATATTCATTCGATATCTTTTCTTAATTTTTATTTGTATTCTATTAGTAAGTCCAAACAAAATTATAGGCCATTTGAAACATGAGCCAGTGTTGGCTGGCTTTGTCTGAGTTCTGGATATTCAGATGAAACATGTATCCTGAATTTGTGGGGAGATAAAAGAATCTTGTTGAAGAAATCTTTGCTTCAGTAGATGCTACATCAACAGCATCTTCAGTGCCCTTCAAGTGCTAAAGCTTGAGCAGTTGTACACCGTGACTGCTCCAGCACTCTTTTCCGCACTGGGCTCTGTCAAGTATTTCTTCCTGGTCAGTTGCAGTATTTGTACAGTCAAAAATTTCTTACTTCAACTATTAAAGAAAACCAGTGACTACTGGGAAAGAATCAAATATTTAGCAATCAAATTGTATGTACCAGCTTGGTCTCTTTAAGAAGTTCTGAAAGTCTATCTTCCACTTTAAAAGTTATCATAGTTTGGCCCCAAAGTGGTAGCTTTTGGCTATTTAAAACATTGAATGTATCTGTATTAGTCTGTTCTCACTGTGCTAATAAAGACATACCTGAGATTGCTGAGGTTTAATTGACTCACAGTCACACATGGCTGGGGAGGCCTCACAATCATGGTCGAAGGTGAATGAGAAGCAAAGTCACATCTTATGTGGCAGCAGGCCAGAGAGCCTGTGCAGGGGAACTCCTGTTTATAAAACCATCAGATCTCGTGAGACTTACTCATTACCACAAGAACAGTATGGGGGAAACCGCCCCCATGATTCAATTATCTCCACCTGGCTCTGCCTTTGACACATGGGGATTATTATAACTCAAGATGAGATCTGGGTGAGGACACAGCCAAACTGTATCAACATCCCTGAGATATGTGACCTGAACAATTTGCTCAAAATCATAGGAACCTTTTCCAGATGCTGTGGATACCATGAAGAAACATTTCATTTCATCCCCATTACAGAACATCTTTCCTTCAATAACCAGACACATCCTTGTGGAAGAACAGTTTTGTACTTGCAGCTTATTGCTTCTTAAAAATCCTCTGAAAAGAAGTACACTTATTGTTATAATGTTGCTGAATTAATAATTTCCACTATTTCCTTAGTGCTGAATTACAATTGGAGGCATACTGGGGACTTCCAACTGTGCTCTGTAAGTGAGGCTGCATGCCGCCTGGCCTTCAGGAGCAAAGGCTTTTATTCAAATAGCAGTGCCCTTTCTGCTTGTACATTTCACTGGTGCTCCATCAATATTGATTTTGAATCACCTTTTCTGGTTGACGTCAGGGCTCACAACATGATCACTAACCGAATGAAAATTCTCTTCTCCTTGTATGGATTTTCAATTATGAACAGAACAACAAAAATCCACCAAGCCTTAGCCTCTCATATATGCTCACAGGTATACTAATTCACACTTTGCACACCAGTGGTTTCATCCAAGTGCAAAACAAAATACCTCCTAGGATGCACAACCAATAGCAATTGTTCTTCCAATTATATGCTACAGATATCATGCAGGTTCCATCGGTGTCATTTAACTAAGGAATGTTGCCATGGTCCCTTCCGTCCCCTCTACAATCGTAAGAGCATCGTTTATCATTAACTTTGCAGCTGGTTTTACAAGCTTCTTGGCAATAGACTTGTACCAGTTTCTGCAACAAGCAGGGCACTTTAAATTCTTCTATAGCTTTTTGTTTCTCCTCTGCTGTTAGCAACAAAATCCAACCCTTTCATACCAGAAACATTTATCCTGTGTTCCTCTAGAAATACCTGGTTTACTAGAAGTCAGTGTGCTTTCTATGAAACTGACCAAAACAGGCTTTGGATGTCTGCCTCAGCCAATGGGTAAAAACACAGTCAATCCAGAGGTACCGGAACTCCCGAGCTGCACCTTCGATGGATATGAGCTGCAGTTGTCACACCCTCTACTAGATGTAGAAGCTTTGACCCAGAAACTAAAACTAAACTGAAAACTAAAATGACTAGAAAATATTGAGAATTGTATGCATATACAAGCACTACACATCAAAACTTGGAATACAATTAAACTGGTACTGACAGCCTTATATACATATATATATTAAACCATAAAATTTAGAAATAAATGAAGCAAGTGTTCAACTGAGAAGGCTTTAAAACATTACAGCTAGCAGTCTATTTTATTACTTTTTTCAAAAAAACAACTCCTGGATTTGTTGATCTACTGGATGTTTTTTTGTGTCTCAATCTCCTTCAGTTCAGCTCTGATTTTGGTTATTTCTTATCTTCTGCTAGCTTTCAGGTTGGTTTTCTTTTGGCTTTCTAGTTCTTTTAGTTATGAGGTTAGGTTGTTAAATTGAGATCTTTCTAGCTTTTGGATAGGGCATTTAGTGCTATAAATTTCCCTCTTAACACTGACTTAGCTGTGTCCCAGAGATTCTGGTACGTTGTATCTTTGTCCTCATTAGTTTCAAAGAACTTCTTGATTTCTGCCTTAATTCCATTTTTTCCCCAAAAGTCATTCAGGAGCAGGTTATTCAATTTCCATGTAAGGAAACCTCAAAGAAGAATGAAGGAATAAAAATAAAAAATTAAAGCTGATTATTTCCTTAAACCTCAATATTTGATAAAGTTGCATCACAACACACTTGTGGCTACAGGCAAATGGATGTGTTATCCAATAACTTTCCATTTCAAACATCTTCATCAAGGTTTATCTTTTTACACCTTTCCTTTCATTTCCTTATTCAAAGTGATCACATTACCAGATATATATAGCCAAGCCCATATGGATTTATTCCATATTTACACTGGAGTCCTTTGCATTTTTAAATTCAATGGGTTGTTCTAGACCGAAATATTTTTATTACCCTTTTATTCCTGTGCCTACACTTTGATGAATCAAATTTGCAACACTCATCCATTTCTTATACCAGGAATGTAATATCACACAACAGAAACAATGAAAAGTGTAAACTTAGTAGATGTAATAACTGGAACATGATACATAAACATATTGGGCAAAGCTACTTGCATCTTGTTAATAAAACATGATTTGTGTATTGACTGAGCTATAAAGAACAAAATTGTGGAATCTTACTTTAAAATTAGGGAAATATCTGTGAACAAGATTATTTCACCACTTTCCCTGCAGAAAATTACCAAATTCCCTTTGGATTACTGATAATTGATGGACACCTATAGACCACTCTTTGAATTAGCTTATAAGCCAAATAAGGTAAATCACCTTGTTTCATAGGAAATGAATGTCACAGAGCGTTATCCATTGTGATCACCATTTTCATCACCAGAATTACCCTGGAAATGATGTTTGGCTATTTCCTACAATAAAATCTAGCCTCCATTCATTTGTCAATGAACACTGGGTTGGTTTCATATCTTGGGTATTGAGAACAACAGGAAATCCTGTCATTTGCAACAGCATGAATGAATCTGGAGGACATTACGCTAAGTGAAGTAAGCCAGTCATAAAACGACAAATACTGCATGATTCCACTTATAAGAGGAGTCTAAAATAGTCATATTTACAGAAGCAGAGAGTAGAATGGTGGTTGCCAGGGGCTGGGGAGAGGGAGAAATGGAGAGTTGTTATTCAATGGGTTTCAGTCATTAAAGCTCCAGTCATGCAAGATGAGTAAGTTCTAGATCTGCTGTACAACATAGAGCCTAGAGTTAAGAGTACTGCATTTGCACTTAAACATTTGTTAAAAGGGTAGATGTTGTCTGGGCTCAGCGGCTCATGTCTGTAGTCCTAACACTTTGGAGGCCAAGGCGGGCAGATTGCTTGAGCCTGGGAGTTTGAGACCAGCTTGGGCAATATGGTGAAACTCTATCTCTACAAAAATTACAATAATTAGTCAGGTGTGCTGGCAGCACACCTGTAGCCTCATCTATTTGGGAGGCTGAATTATTTGAGCCCAGGAGGTCAAGGCTGCAGTGAGCCATGATTGTGCCATCGCACTCTAGCCTAGGTGACAGAGCAAAACCCTGTCTCAAAATAAATAAATAAAATAAATAAATGAATAAAGGTTATATGTCATATTAAGTGCTCATATCACAGGTCACACAAAACAACATCAAAAACCCCAAGAGGCATTTGGCCTCTCCCCCTCCCCCTTTCTGGCATTCCCTATTTTGTCACAAGCTCAGTGTCTTTCTTTAAAAGAGGCTGTATGCCGGGCACGGTGGCTCACACCTGTAATCCCAGCACTTTGGGAGGCTGAGGCGGGCGGCTCACAAGGTCAGGAGTTCGAGACCAGCCTGGCCAACATAGTGAAACCCCGTCTCTGCTAAAAAATACAAAAAATTAGCTGGGTGTGGTGGCGGGCACCTGTAATCCCGGCTACTTGGGAGGCTGAGGCAGGAGAATCGCTTCAACCTGGGAGGTGGAGGTTGCAGTGATCCGAGATCGTGCCACTGAACTCCAGCCTGGAGACAGAGTGAGACTCCATCTAAAAAAAAAAAAAAAAAACAAAAAAACAAAAAACAACCCCAAGAGGCACAAGGAAACTTTTGAGATGATGAATATGTCTATTACCTTAATTGGTGATGGTTCCATGGGTGTACGCATACATTCAGACTCATCAGATAGTGTACATTAAATGGGTGCAGTTTTCTGTATATGAACCATATCTCAATAAAGCTGTTAAAAAATCTAGTCCTAAAGGTTAGTGATTTTCCACCCCAGGGATAATCAAATGAAAACTATTTTTTTGGTGCAATATATAAATGCTCTGAGCAATTGCAGGATTGGTGTCATTAGGTACAGAGTTCCCTGATCATCGGGGAGTTATGACAATCATTTGTGTGTTTCAGTTTGGTATAATTGGTTTTTTGAACCCCACAAAACTTTAATTAACTGGTTAATTTACTTCACAAATGTGTTCTGGGCACAAACTGTGTATCAGCCACTGTTTTAGACGCCCAGGTACCATAGTGCACAGCAAGATGACCCCTGCCTTCCTGGAGGTTCCTCTAACTGTGTTTGTTCTAATGCGAGAGATTCACATGAAATCAGTAAATATTTAGTGACAATTGTTATATAGTAGCCTTAAAGACATATCCCTTACTGCATCCTAGAAAATTCAGTTACAAGGTGATAAATCTGTACACTTATTCCAGTAAAATGTTATAATGCAAGGTTAAATCAGCTCAGAGAAATTGGGTATCTAGAAAAGGGTCTTAATGTGCTATGAAAAGTAACTGAAATACCAGTAGAATGACTGAGAAGTGGAAATACCATAGTTACAAAAATGAGAGGAAGGCAGGAAGGCATGCTCACAGAGACTCGGCACCTTAGTTATAACCATATACGGTGTGTGGAAAGACAGCAGTTCATTTCCGTTACTGTTCCAACTGCCTACACTAAATGCAAGCACGATGCAGCAGTCAGTCAAGGGATTCTTAGTGGTGACAACTGGGGAAAAATAATGAAAAATAAGTTTATGGCCTATCCACTACATGAGGAAGTAGGTAGGTATCTTCACGGGCAGTGGGTGAGTGTTGTAAATCAGTATACCCTTTTTGAAAGACATTTTGTAGTAATAGTATCTTATCAATAATATTAATGTGCATTCTCTTTGACCCAGTAATTGCATGTCTAAAAATCCATCACACAGAAAACCAAAGAGAAATCTACACAAGGAATGCATAAGGCTAGTCAGTGCAGAAATTTTTAGCAACAGTGAAAAACTGGAAACAATCTCATTGTCTCTCAATAGGGAAAGACTTAAATAAATGACAGCATAATGCAAATAGAGGAGCACAAGGAAATATATCTTATTTGAGAGTTAGGTTTACTTCGGTCAAAATTATACCTTACTGCTGTATTGTCAGGTGAGTAACAAATGAAGGGATTGGCTTCTGTTTAGGAACCTTGCTTAGAAATCTATCTTTGAATGGGAGAATCATGTTGATTGTGGCAAAGTGCACATACTTTGCGCAGAGTTAGGCAGGGATTGAGACCTACTAAGGAAAGAGCAGATGGAGCAGAATGGCAAGCAGGTGCTGCAGAACCACTTCAATTGTTTTATTCCTATCTCTCTCTCTCTCTCTCTCTCTCTCTGTGTGTGTGTGTGTGTGTCTGTATCCCTTGGCCTCTTTCTGGATCTCTTCCTCTAAAACCCAAATACTTAAATAGAAATAAGTTCAATATTCATATGCTGCTTTTTTTCCTCTGTGATTGAGAGGTACCAGCACTGAAAGACATCAACAATATTTTATATGTGTGTGTGTGCATACATAATAATATATGCATACATAGATTAAGTGAAAAAGGCAAACCGCAGAACAAAGTGCAGATTATGATCCCATTCTAGCAAAAACTGCATGTGTGAATGTATGTGACTGAGTGTGGATGCCCATAATAAAATTAATTAGGCTCATCCCAATATATAAATAGTGGTCACCTCTAGGGAGTGGTTTTAGAAAACTGAGCAGGAGTAATTATTGGATGTTATTTATTGTGTGTATTATTAAGTTTAATATAATTTGACAAGGAGAAAAAAGTCTTAAAAGATGGAATAAAGGACCTACTGTGACCTTTGATCTTTGAATTTTTAATGGTTTCCATAGTTTCTCAGGCTCCATCCTCTTTGAAGTTGTGTGCTGCCTTGATTCAGGACATGTTCAGTCCCAGGAAAGCTTAAGTGAACCATTCTCCTAAACAGGCTTCACGCTGACTTCTGTAAGTGGTTCTTCCCCAAGTGAGCCCATAAGTGCCAGGAGCAGGGATCAGCACTGTCCATGGTTAAGGCACTCTGACATCTCTCAGCTATAGCAACGACTCTTCTCAACTCTCTGGAACACAGCCGTTCATAATCATGTAAAGAACACAGCTCTAATATAAGCTGAGATTTAGCCTCTTCTCAACTCTCTGGAACACACCCGTTCATAATCATGTAAAGAACACAGTTCTAATATAAGCTGAGATTTAGCCTCTTCTTTACAAGAGGAATGTTTTCAATTTTTTTTCTTTTCGGAGACAGGATATTGCTCTGTCACCCAGGCTGGAGTGGAGTGGCACCATTGCAGCTCACTGCAGCCTCAATCTCCTGGGCTCAAGTGATCCTCTCACCTCAGGCTCCTGAGTAGCTGGGACTACAGGCACATGCTTCCATACCCAACCAATTTTTTAAATTTTTTTTGCACAGACAGGGTGTTGTTTTGTTGCCCAGGCTGGTCTTGAACTCTTGGCCTCAAGAGATCCACTTGCCCAGGCCTCCCAAAGTACTGGGATTACAGGAGTAAGCCACTGCACCTGGCCAACAATACTTAACTATACCAGTATCTATGTCAATTAGACAAGAAGTGGTATTTATTTATTTAAGTTAGTGTTCTAAGAGCTGACTACCACTTGCAGATCTTGGCAACCTGAAAGAACCAGAAGCATCATAACAAGGATTGGGAAGAATGGATATGCTGGCAGTTCCAAACCCTATGATGGATAATGGAGACTGGGTGCTTAGGGACCCAGTAATCTACTAATAGTTAAGCCGAACGGATGCTTTTTAGTCCTCATCTTCCTTGACTGCAGTGTTGCAGTTTGACATTGTTAACCAATACTGCTTTCTGATAAGTTTTTCCTTTCCTCACTTCTATGACTCAATTTCTTGTATTTGCTTTCCTTTCCGATCATTCAGTTCCCTAGACTAGTTCCTCTGTGTCTATCCATCCACCCATCTTTCCATCCATCCACCTATACTTCCATTCATCCATCCATCCATCCATCCATTCATCCATCCATCCATCCATCCATCCACCCACCAATCCATCCCTCCATCCTTCCATCCATCCATCCATCCATCTATCCATCCATCTGTCCATCCATTGTTAGCTCTTCGTCTTCTCACTGACCTTAGGTATAATTACCTTTTTCCTTAGGTATAATGACCCTTGTGTTGTTCTCTAGCATCCATCCCTTTGATATTAGAATCCCAAAATCCATTTGAAGGGAAATTTCCACTGTGTACAACGTCAGAAGGCAATATTCTTAGGTTGCCTCTCACTGCAGCTTCCTAAGCCAAGGGTATATGATTCTTCAACATTCTACCTCCTAGGAGAGCCACAGAAAGACCATATAACCCGGGTTCAGCCAATCAGATTCCTGTAAATCTTAAGCCAGTACAATGAAGACAGAGGGACAAATTGAAAACTAGCTTTCACAGCTGCAGGCTTTCTTTTGAGGGATGAGCTTTATTGTATTCTCTGCTTGCTAGTATCTGGGGCCCCCACATCATGCCCACTTTTTAGGTCTGGCCATCTATTCTCCTATTGTTTCTGTGAATTTTTAGTTACTTCCAGAAATTTATTTTTTTGCCTATGATGAAAACATTGAATGTCTGTTGCTTTCAACCAAGAACCCCAACTAATCAATGGGGGCAATGGCATTGATTCAAGGCTTCACCTGTCTTCTGTCACCTATAATTTAATGACTATTGTCAACCCAATCTTCTCTCCTGAATTCTGCAAACTACTTTCAACTAATTAACGGACATCACTACCTGAACATTAACAAGTCACCTGAGTCAGAAATTTGAACATCATCCTCCACTCACCCCTCTCCCGCACTCACCAACACTATCGAACTCTGTCTCCCATCCTTGCCCCCTGACTATCCTTGCTTCTATCTCACCTTCTGCATCCCCACTGACCCAGCCTTAGTTGTGACCTTCATCTTCTTTTGCTAAATTATAGCATTAGCTTCCTAACCAGGCAATGCTTTCAGTCCCTTCTCCGTTTTGTTTCAGAGTATATTTTTCAAAATGAAAATTCAATCCCATCACTTCCCTTTTTCAAATACTTCAAAGGTTCTTCTTTGTCTACAAATTTGCCCTTCCAAAACATCAAACAACTCCAGTGGGGCACTTTAGTACTAAAATAAAATAACTGATGTCTCAGGATTCATAGGAAAAGTCCTCATTTTGCTTATTTTGGGCAAGCATAAACAGAGGGATAATCAGATGGCTGGATTATCTTTACTGGTCTCTGCAGGGGCAGAAGTCTTCAGACAGGCAGCCTTGGACAATTTTTCTCTTGACTTTAAAACAAAAGGTGTATCACATCTTGATTTTAACAGAATGGATATCCCAAATACTCTTCATCCATTTAATTTGCATTCAGCTACTTTTTGTATCCTGATCTTTATCAAAGATATCATTTTCTAAATTGCCCTTAATCTCCTTTTTAAAATCTAGGTTCTCACATGAGCAGCACCCTAATTTACCATGAGGCTTTTCTTCTGTCTTTCATTACATTAAGGTTCAGTTCTTCTTGATTTTCCCCTTTCTATGAAACTTGAGGAAGTATCTTATTTTGATGCTGGTGCCAAGTGTTGTGAACTGCTAGATTCATGGGGGTAGATGGGAGTGGAAGCAGGGATGGTAAAATGCTGACTGGCAAGTCTTGTTATCACAAAATGTCAGAGCCTGTAAGAAGACAGAGGTGGCCAGATGCAGTGGTCACGCCTGTAATCTCAACACTTTGGGAGGCCAAGGCAGGAAGATCACTTAAGTTCAGGAGTTCGAGACCAGCCTAGGCAACACAAGGAGGCCCCGTCTCTACAAAACATTTCTGAAAAATCAGCCCAGCATGGTGGCACACACCTGCAGTCCCAGGTACTTGGGAAGCTGAGGTGGGAGGACTGCTTAAGCCTGGGAGGTCAAGGCTGCAGTGAACCATGATCACACCACTGCACTTCAGCTTGGGCGACATAGCAAGACCCTGTCTCAAAAAAAGAAGAAGGAGAAGGAGATGGAGAAAAAGAAGAAGGGGAAGAAAGGAGGAGGAGAAGAGGAAGAAGAAGAAGAATGAGGAGGAGGAGGAGAGGAAGAAGACAGGGAAGAAGAGGAGGAGGAAGAGGAAGGAGGAGAAGAAGAAGAAAGAGGAGGAGGAGGAGGAAGAAGGAGGAGGAGGAGGAGAACAAGAAGGTGAAAGAGGCACTGGATAGGATTCAAGAAGGGAAGCATCAAATGTTCCCCACTACCCTCTTGTTCTGAGATGTAGGTTTTTATAATGACAGGCACAGGCTATAAGAAACAGAGAGACGATATTATGATACAGACAGGATAGTATCCTAGAAAAACTTATCCAGTAAAAGTTTACTTGTTGAACTGAGCTGGAGATGTCACTCTGTCTGCTGCTCTCCTTTTATAAACAATTACCAAAATATCAATAACATCTCCTTTCTTCCTATCTTCCTTTTCTATCTTCACTAGGCTAACCTGCAACCCTGGGGGGGCCATGGCTACTGAAAAGGAATGATCTCAGATAGGTAATAATATTTACCTCTTCTTCTCTGGTCTTTTTACCAGCACCAAAAACAAATACATAGTTAACACTACTTAAAACCTACAACCAAATTCTACTTCTGCTTAGGATGCAGAAAGACCCAAGAGAAAATTACAAGAGAAAGCTGGACAGTCAACAGAATTATGTTATTTATTGAGCCCATCAAGAGCTGAGGTTGTTGAAAGGCAAACAAACTGAATTCAAGTGCCAAGCACTCCTGAGTTAATATGAAACACACCGTCTGCTTTACCTTTAGCAGAGGATGAATGAAAAAGGAGGCATCCATACCAATGAGTAACAAGGAATCAGCTACATTTTAAATGAATCCTTAAAGGCAAAATATAGAGTAACGTGTCAATTTGGAATAGGTGGATGTCTCAGGCACAGGGAAGCTTGCACTCGGGCTCAAGTTCTTACCCCTGAGCCTCCACTAAGTAGCTCATGAGAGGAACTGGGGCAGGGCAAGAGACAGAAAGAGCCTCTCAAGGCAACATAAGCTTGTGGGAGGTGATCAGATAGTTGCTGCTGGGGACAGGCATAAAGCCCTGCCTACTTTCTCAACCCTTACAGAAAGCAAAAGTCTTAAGTCACTGGACAGCAAACTCCGTCAACCTAGGGCCAAGGAAAAAAAAATCGGTTGCTTCTGGGTTAGGAGTAGGATAAACTTCAGCTCACTTTGAGGACAATATAGGAAGTGCCCTGCCTCCAGGATACAGGCAAAGGTCAATTGCTGCTGGAGGAAAGTTAGAAGAGGCAGTCAAACACACTCAAACCTAAATCAATTCCCAGCTAGACTGACTCAACCTTCCACTAATGGCCTGACACAAAAAGATGTGTGTCCACTTTTGGATATCAATAATGTATGGCTCAGTCTCTTCTGTTCTTTTCCACACAATAGCCAGTATTCAATCATGTATTTTCAGGTATGCAAAAAAAAAAAAAAAAAAAAAAAAAAAAGGGCAAGGAAAACCCAGCTCATTGTGAAGAAATAAAGCCATCAATAGAACCAGATGCAGAGACAACCTGGTTTCACCAGAATGAAACTTTAAAATAATCATGACTGAAATGTTAAGGTATCTAGTGGAAAAGCAAGTAAACATACATAACATATGGGAATTTCAGCACAGAGATCTTGCCTGGAAGTCAGCTCTTGCAAAGGGATATTAAAATTACAAAGAAAACCTAAAGCTTCCAAGAAGCATGATAAGATCCCATTTTTCACATGATACACTGATTAGAATGTATGTAAGCTATCTTGATCATCCTGGCAGAATACCAGGCTAGACACAGCTTCTTTGTAAAAGACAGGATCCACTTAGATTTTCATTGAAACATTGTTTATCTGCATAGGGAGCTACCTTTGCTTCAGAGGGAAAGCCAGTGGCTTTTTTGATTATTTTAAAATTAATAAGATCTCCTGTATAGTGGTATCTGAAAAAATCACTTACATGCCAGTAATATTCTGTTTCTTGCTCTAGATGCAGTAAAGAAAGGTATATTCATTTTGTAATAATTCATCAAGCTGTACACTTATAATTAACATTCATTTCATTTTGGATATTTTACTTCAACAAGAAGTGTATTTTTAAGACAGCTCATTAAAATATCTCTGTAATAATTGATTTTTTTCTTGTCTAATGGTAATTTGTAAAACAAGATAAATGCACATGTAACTCAATAGTATAACCCATCTAGCTGACTAGTTATTATCAGGGAAATTATTTGCTTTACATGGGTGTATTCGTGAAGGTTGATTTTAAGAATAAGGAATTCATACATATAGAAAAAACCTAGAAACAAATGTAATGGCAACTCAAGCAGCAAATTAATGTCTTAGAAAGTGGGGAAGTGTCTTAGAAAATGAGGAACTGAATATTAACCCCTGGGGCACTCAGTTTCCCCTAAAACCTCACTTAAGGAAGCTTACCTGAATAAAGGCCACTTTTAATGTGTAGGATAAAATATGCATCCGGTTCATAGCCTGAATACTTCTGAACCTAAAGACATACTCTGAATTCACTTTGAAGAATAACTGATATCCTATGCTATCCTTAGCAGCATGTGAAAAACTCTGAGCAAGTTATGCAATCATGTTTCAAATGGAATAAAGCACTTCCCGCTAAACTCTAGACTATTTGTGCTAATAGAGTAGAAAACAAAGAGGAGTGAATAGCCTCAAAACATTAGATGATCTCTACGTGCTTTGGAAATAAAGTAAGAGTCCCTCCTCTGCAACATCCTTCCTGGGACACTCTCCTTTTCTTCCTCTTCCGTGTGCTTCCCTTTCCTTTTTTGAGATGGAGTCTCACTCTGTCATTCAAGTTGGAATGCAATGGCACCATCTCCACCCACTGCAGCCTGCGCCTACGCCTACGCCTTCCAGGTTCAAGCGATTCTCCTGCCTCAGCCTCCTCAGTAGTTGGGATTACAGGTGCATGTCACCACACCCAACTAACTTATTAGAAACAGGTTTTTGCCATGTTGGACAGGCTAGTCTTGAACTCCCGGCCTCAAGTCATCTGCCCGCCTCGGCCTCCCCAAGCACTGAGCCACCACACCCAGCCCAGTTCCCTTTTCTTACTTCCCAACCCCTGAAATGCTCTTCACCTCCAGTTCCAGAGTCCTCATCTGAGTTCTCTACACAAAAATAAATAATTAACTGGGCATGGTAGTGTGCGCCTGTAGCAGGATGATTGCTTCAGTCCAGGAGTTCAAGGTTGCAGTGAGCTAGAATTGCACCACTGCACTCCAGCCAGGATGGCAGAGGGAGACCCTGTCTTTAAGAAAAAAAAAGTTAAAAAATAACTTTTTAGTAAAAAAAAAATAACGGTATACAACAATAATTTGGTTGGACTATTTGGAATTAAACCATGGAAATATAAATAGGGAAAACCCCTCAAACCTTTGTTCAAGCTGCTTCTTTCATAAAAACTTGCAATTAACATAGATAAAACTTTTAAATGAACCAACTGTGCTTCACTATTCTTCTGCCTCCTTTGTCATCTTTTGGGGGAAAACAAATAAGTAGTAAAATAATGGCAAGGAATGGTATAGCATATACAAAGTCCTGATTATTTTTACCATGGTCATAGTTTTTTTTTTTTTTTTTTTACTTAAATAGCCCAAAACTGTGGTTTTCTTTAAGCATATGCTCTTCAGAAATTATGTTGCAATAAAGCAGCACCTAAATCAGTAAGTGTAATTTCCAGGAAGTTAAGAAAGGCAGCATTTATTTTAAAAGGGAAAATAAGATGTGCTTCCATTTACAAACATGTAGATATCCAAAACAAATGGGATTATGTTTAAGAGTTATCTCACTATTCAAGACTAATGTCAAGACTAATGGAACAACACCATCAACAAAGGAAGCAGAGTTCTCATTTTCCGGTTCTGATTTCCATAGGTCCTAGGTGGTCATCATCCTGTATAAACAACTGATCCATCAAGGATCAATGTCTGTATGTGGAGTGGCTCCCTTTCCCTAAATACCACCTTTTTAAGAGATTTTTAAATTGTGGTATAACATAGCTAGCAAAGCACTTGATGAATTCTTACATACGTGCATACCCTTTTACATACACATACATTGCCACCCAGAAGATGATAGATTTCTGCCACCCCAGAAAGAAGGCTTCCACACACCTCTTCCCAGTCCATACACCTAAGTGTATCCACTCGTCGGATCATTATCACCACAGATTGGTTTTGCTAGTTTTTGAACTTTATAGAGTCGGCATATTATGCAGGTGACCTTCGACAACACAGATTTGAACTGCAAGGGTCCACTTATACACAGATTTGTTTATGCCTCTGCCACCCCTGAGACAGCAAGACCAACCCCTTCTTTTTTTGTTATACTTTAAGTTCTGGGGTACACGTACAGAATGTGTGGTTTTGTTACATAGGTATAGAAATGCCATGGTGGTTTGCTGCACTCATCAACCTGTCATCTACATTAGGTATTTCTCCTAATGCTCTCCCTCTCCTAGCCCCCCACCCCCAGACAGGCCCCGGTGTGTGATGTTCCCCGCCCTGTGTCCATCCATGTGTTCTCATTGTTCCACTCCACTTATGAGTGAGAATATGTGGTGTTTGGTTTTCTGCTCTTGTGATAGTTTGCTCAGAATGATAGTTTCCAGCTTCATCCATATCCCTGCAAAGGACATGAACTCATCCTCTTTTATGGCTGCATAGTATTCCATGGTGTATATGTGCCACATTTTCTTTATCCAGACTATCATTGATGGACATTTGGGTTGGTTCCAAGTCTTTGCTATTGTGAATAGTGCTGCAATAAACATACGTGTACATGTGTCTTTATAGTAGCATGATTTATAATCCTTTGGGTATATACCCAGTAATGGGATGGCTGGGTCAAATGGTATTCCTAGTTCTAAATCCTTGAGGAATTGCCACACTGTCTTCCACAATGGTTGAACTAGTTTACAGTCCCACCAACAGTGTAAAAGCGTTCCTATTTCTCCACATCCTCTCCAGCATCTGTTGTTTCCTGACTTTTTAATGACCGCCATTCTAACTGGTGTGAGATGGTATCTCCTTGTGGTTTTGATTTGCATTTCTCTAATGACCAGTGATGATGAGCATTTTTCATGTTTGTTGGCTGCATAAATGTCTTCTTTTGAGAAGCGTCGGTTCATAACCTTTGCCCACTTTTTGATGTTTTTTGCTGTTGCTGTTGTTGTTTCTTGTAAATTTGTTTAAGTTCTTTGTAGATTCTGGGTATTTGCCCTTTGTCAGATGGATAGATTGTAAAAATTTTCTCCCATTCTGTAGGTTGCCTGTTCACTCTGATGATAGTTTCTTTCGCTGTGCAGAAGCTCTTTAGTTTAATTAGATCCCATTTGTCACTTTTGGCTTTTGTTGCCATTGCTTTTGGTGTTTTAGACATGAAGTCTTTGCCCATGCCTATGTCCTGAATGGTATTGCCCAGGTTTTCTTCTAGGATTTTTACAGTTTTAGGTCTTATGCTTAAGTCTTTAATCCATCTTGAGTTGATTTTTGTATAAGGTGTAAGAAAGGGGTCCAGTTTTAGTTTCTGCATATGGCTAGCCAGTTTTCCCGACACCATTTATTAAATAGGGAATCCTTCCCCATTGCTTGTTTGTGTCAAGTTTGACAAAGATCAGATGGTTGTAGATGTGTGGTGTTATTTCTGAGGCCTCTGTTCTGTTCCATTGGTCTATATATCTGTTTTGGTACCAGTACCATGCTGTTTTTGACCAGCCCCTTATTTTCCTCCCACTCCTCAGCCTACTCAAGGTGAAGATGACAAGGATGAAGAATTTTATGATGATCCACTTCCATTTAATGAATAGTAAATATATTTTCTTTTCCTTGAGATTCTCTTAATAACATTTTCTTTTCTACAGCTTAATTTATTGTAAGAACATAGTATACAATAAGCTATAATGAACATGACATATGAAATATGTGTTAATTGACTGTTTATGCTATCAGTAAGACTCCCAGTCAACGGTAAGCTACTGGTAGTTGAGTTTTGGGGAAGTCAAACATCACATGTAGTTTTTTACTATATAAAGAATGTGTGCATCAACCCCCATGTTTTTCAAGGGTCACCTGTTGAGATAAGGCCTTTTTTCAAAGTTCACAAACTTCAATGGCACTCTGAGAACCACATAAAAATATAAGGGTCGTATGAATAAATTGTTCAATAGTTCTCATCTCACCTTCTAACATCTATAGATTGCCAGGTGGGAAATTATAATACCTCTTTGCAGTAAGAAAGAAAATCAAAAGATTTTTGATGAGCACCCAATTAAAGGGAGCTCATGTTGCAATGGCAGAGACAATTCTGTTCATTAGGAATCTCCAGTGGTAGAATAAATAACTCTACATCCGGGGCTGCGGTAGCTTCCCTCATCAATTGTTCTCAAAGTGACAACTCTCAGGAGCTGTACCTCTCAAGAACCTTTCAAAGTTTTTCTCTCTCTCTCTTCCTTTTTTTTTTTTCTTTTAAGAAATGGGGTCTCACTCTGGCAGCCAGGCTGGAGTACAATAGCAGAATCATAGCTCATCATGGCTTCAAACTCATAAACTCAAGAGATCTTCCCACCTCAGTCTCCTGAGTAGCTGGGACTAGAGTCGTGAACCACTGCACCTAGCTCTTAAAATTCCTCTATTTCTGTCATCTTCCTCACCTCCAGGAATAGGTCTCAGCCAGATTGATTCCATCTGCTCTATCTCTAGAAAGTCACTCTCCACAAAGATCCCAGTGAGCTTTGAAATGGCTTCAACAGTGGCACAACATCCTTTACAAGAAACTTATTCTAATCCCTGTAGTTGTCATAGGTAAACAAACCAGTGAAAACCAGAGTGGTCTCTTGGTTGCCTCTTCTGTTTCCTCTGCTCTCTGGAAAATGCTACCCCAGAACCTGGTGCTCCTGAGGCCAAGAGAAATTCTCAGGCTCTTTAAGGGTTGCATTAGAAATCCAAGTGGTCATTCCTCTCATTTCCAAAGCTTTGAAATGCAAACACTCAATCCACCACATAGTAGTGTTCAACATAATTAATCCAAAGAGATTTAGTCAATATATTTTTAGTCAATGTACTAAAAGAAATGAAAAGGAAAAAGAGTGGTAAGAAGAAAAGGAACTATTTTATTATGTGTGTCCATTTCCAGTGATTTAGGATCGGGGTAAAGTAGTGGGCTTTTTCCACTACAAAGTGAAGAGGTCAGATTAGGCTGCTTTTCTCAATAACTCTCACTTACAGAGTAGTACATTTCCTAAGACATTGTAAATAAATCTTAGACGCATTAAAAGTTTAGTGCTGGAAGAGATTCAGGATGTAATCTTGCTGAATCCCTTAATTGAACATAAAAGGTAATGTTGGTCAAGCTGGATAAGAGACTTGGTCTATGACACCAACGGAATTGGCAGCCCCAAAACTAGAATTCAGGTGTGCCCTAAGGGCTAATTCTGTTTCTCTACCCTTGTGGTAGATTGTATTATTGGGCCAAATCTTTACTCCTCACTATATTTGCAGATTGCCATGGTTTCATGGTAGACAGAGTACTGCCTTGCCCTCTGACTTGGGGTTGACCATGAGACTTATTTTGGCCAAATGTATTCTATATTAACAGACATGAGGAGAACACAGGCTTTAAATGTTTGTACTATTGCTTGAAGCCACTAAGACTTTATTTAAATTTAATTTAATTTTTAAATTGACAAATCAGACTTGTACATATTCATGGAGTGCATAGCCATGTTTCAATACATAATAAGGTATAGAGATCAGATCAGGGTAAGTTGCCAGGAAGCATTACACAGTAACAGCTCGCTGATACTACTTACCACCCTGCATTATTTTCGGAAGTCGAATTATATTTCAAATATATCAGAGAAGCTCTCCTTTTGAAAGGGCCCTATAATGAACCCCTTTCATAAGATTCCTTTTGTAAGTCAAGACTTTCAACAATAATAATCTAATATTAACCAAAGTTGTCACTAACTAGCCACCTTCCAAACACCAGTACTGTATTCAGCCCTTTGGATGCATTATCTCAAAATATTTTCAACAACTATCTGAACTAGAACTGTCATTTTACGGAAAAGGAAAAAGGAAAAGTAGGTTCAGAGAGGCTGACTAGTTTCCCCAGAGCCCAGGCAGTAAGCAGGTAGCGGGATTCAAACTCAGCAATGACTAATTAAGTCCATCATCTTAATCACTCTACTATATTCTCTCTCAGTAGATTTAGGTTATGTGTAAAACTGCAGGTTCCAATTATTATTATTATTTGTGAGTAAAGGAAAGGGAGAGACAGTGACTCACTCACTCAGTGATGTGCTCACATTTCTTCTAAAAAACTATTTGATAAATTACCTCTTACAGAACCCATAGTGTGACCTCAGTGCTCAGAAAATTATCCCATTTCTCCTTGGCTTTACCAGAAAATTTGCTCACTATAGGTCGACTTGACTTCCATGATTACTGCTGCCCATTGTTTATTGCTGGCAACATGTGAGGAAGCAGAGGGCTAGGGCTTATGCAGAAAATTTACAGTGCCAAGAACAGGGAAGTTGGAAGGGTTTATCAGAGGTCTTCAAACATTTTGACTTCTGTACCCTCCATAAAAGACTTCTGAAAAAAAATGTATCATGTTTGAATGTTTTCATTCATTCTGAATCTTTTCCATAATAAATTTGAAAGTTATAAGATATGATTTTCAGAATTTATAAATATTAATACTTTAAAATAAAGCTACTACATTACTTTTTATATCTATTTAAGGAATCTAATTACCATAGTTATTTGATACCAATAATAATCTATTTTAAAATACATAAATGATAGTTTTCTTTAGCAACAAGCAATTTTATACCATTCCATTTTCTCCCTTATATATTTATCTGTGAAGCATCATGGACATAGATCATACTCTGGGAGACAAAAATTAAGTATAAGAATGGAAATTCAGTTATTTAATTTTCTGTGTCCATATGTATTTTAGTGTTCAAAAATGTCTTCTGAATTGGGTTAAAATTTCAGTTTTTATTAGTACTTCAAATGAAAATTATGTAAACATCTCACAAGTTCGATAGTTATTTAACATAAAATTATTAGAATGCGTCTCTTAGTAAAATGGACGGAAATTTTTTTAAGTAGTACACGTGCCCATACATGAGTATTACTGCTAGAATGAGAGAGTTTAGCATCAATCTTATTCTTATTTTTTGTTGTTATAGGTATAAATTTTGAAAAACCATTTTGAAGTAAATTAGATGATACAAATGTAAAAATTTTCTTATGGAAATAAATATTATTCAATGAGTTAAGCTCATTCCTACTTACATATCAAAAATTACAGAGATCAATCCAGCAATCTAACTCTTTAACATTTACCCAAAGGAGTTGAAAACTTATGTTCACACAAAATCTACACATGATTGTTTGTTTATAGAAACTTTATTCATAATTACCAAAACAAATCATGATGTCTTCCAGTGGTAAATGGATGAATAAACTGTGATACAGCTAGACAATACAATGTTATTCAATGCTGAAAAGAAATGAGCTATCAAGCTAAGAAAAGATGTGCAGGAACCTTAAGTACATGTTACTAAGTGAAAGAAGCCAATTTGAAAAAGCTGCCTACCAGCAACATTTGCCGTTCTGCAATATTTGCTGTTCTGCAGCCTCCGCTGGTGATACCCAGTCAAACAGGGTCTGGAGTGAACCCCCAGCAAACTCCAACAGACCTGCAGCTGAGGGTCCTGACTGTTAGAAGGAAAACTAACAAGCAGAAAGGAATAGCATCAACATCAACAAAAAAGACAACCACACCAAAACCCCATCTGTAGGTCGCCATCATCAAAGACCAAAGGTAGATAAAACCACAAAGATGGGGAGAAACCAGAGAAGAAAAGCTGAAAATTCTAAAAATCAGAGCACCTCTTCTCCTTCAAAGGAACGCAGCTCCTTGCCAGCAACGGAACAAAGCTGGACAGAAAATGACTTTGATGAGTTGACAGAAGTAGGCTTCAGAAGATCGGTAATAACAAACTTCTCCAAGCTAAAGGAGGATGTAGGAACCCATCACAAAGAAGCTAAAAACCTTGAAAAAACATTAGATGAATGGCTAACTAGAATAAACAGCATAGAGAAGACCTTAAATGACCTGAAGGAAATGAAAACTATGGCATGAGAACTATGTGACGCTTGCAAAAGCTTCAGTAGCCGATTCAATCAAGTGGAAGAAAGGTATCAGTGATTGAAAATCAAATGAATAAAATGAAGCAAGAAGAGAAGTTTAGAGAAAAAAGAGTAAAAAGAAACGAATAAAGCCGCCAAGAAATATGAGACTATGTGAAAAGACCAAATTTACATCTGATTGGTGTACCTGAAAGTGACAGGGAGAATGGAACCGAGTTGGAAAACACTCTTCAGGATGTTATCCAGGAGAACTTCCCCAATCTAGCAAGGCAGGCCAACATTCAAATTCAGGAAATACAGAGAATGCCACAAAGATACTCCTCGAGAAGAGCAACCCCAAGACACCTAACTGTCAGATTCACCAAGGTTGAAATGAAGGAAAAAATGTTAAGGGCAGCCAGAGAGAAAGGTTGGGTTACCCACAAAGGGAAGCCTATCAGACTAACAGCGGCTCTCCCAGCAGAAACTCTACAAGCCAGAAGAGAGTGGGGGCCAATATTCAACATTCTTAAAGAAAAGAATTTTCAACCCAGAATTTCATATCCAGCCAAACTAAGCATCATAAGTGAAGGAGAAATAAAATCCTTAACAGACAAGCAAATGCTCAGAGATTTTGTCACCACCAGGCCTGCCTTACAAGAGCTCCTGAAGGAAGCACTAAACATGGAAAGAAACAACTGGTAACAGCCACTGTAAAAACATGCCAAATTGTAAAGACCATCGATGCTAGGAAGAAACTGCATCAACTAATGAGCAAAATAACCAGCTAACATCATAATGACAGGATCAAATTCACACATAACAATATTAACCTTGAATGTAAATGGGCTAAATGCTCCAATTAAAAGACACAGACTGGCAAATTGGATAAAGAGTCAAGACCCATCAGTGTGCTGTATTCAGGAGACCCATCTCATGTGCAGACACACATAGGCTCAAAATAAAGGGATGGAGGAAGATCTACCAAGCAAACGGAAAACAAAAAAAAAGCAGGGGTTGCAATCCTAGTCTCTGATAAAACAGACTTTAAACCAACAAAGATCAAAAGACACAAAGAAGGCCATTACATAATGGTAAAGGGATCAATTCAACAAGAAGAGCTAACTATTATAAATATATATGCACCCAATACTGGAGCACCCAGATTCATAAAGCAAGTCCTTAGAGACCTACAAAGAGACTCAGACTCCCACACAATAATAATGGGAGACTTTAACACCCCACTGTCAATATTAGACAGATCAACGAGACAGAAAGTTAACAAGGATATCCAGGACTTGAACTCAGCTCTGCACCAAGAGGACCTAATAGACATCTACAGAACCCTCCACCCCAAATCAACAGAATATACATTCTTCTCAGCACCACACCACACCTATTCCAAAATTGACCACATAGTTGGAAGTAAAGCACTCCTCAGCAAATGTAAAAGAACAGAAATTATAACAAACTGTCTCTCAGACCACAGTGCAATCAAACTAGAACTCAGGATTAAGAAACTCACTCAGAACCGCACATCTACATGGAAACTGAACAACCTGCTCCTGAATGACTACTGGGTAAACAACGAAATGAAGGCAGAAATACAGATGTTCTTTGAAACCAATGAGAACAAAGACACAACATACCAGAATCTCTGGGACACATTTAAAGCAGTGTGTAGAGGGAAATTTATAGCACTAAATGGCCATAAGAGAAAGCAGGAAAGATCTAAAATTGACACCATAACATCACAATTAAAAGAACAAGAGAAGCAAGAGCAAACACATTCAAAAGCTAGCAGAAGGCAAGAAATAACTAAGATCAGAGCAGAACTGAAGGAGATAGAGAAACAAAAAACCCTTCAAAAAATCAATGAACCCAACAGCTGGTTTTTTGAAAAGATCAACAAAATTGATAGACTGCTAGCAAGACTAATAAAGAAGAATCAAATAGATGCAATAAAAAATGATAAGGCAGATATCACCACCGATCCCACAGAAATACAAACTACCATCAGAGAATACTATAAACATCTCTATGCAAATAAACTAGAAAATCTAGAAGAAATTGATAAATTCCTGGACACATACACCGTCCCAAGACTAAACCAGGAAGAAGTTGAATCCCTGAATAGACCAATAACAGGCTCTGAAATTGAGGCAATAATTAATAGCATAGCAACCAAAAAAACTGTAGGACCAGATGGATTCACAGCCGAATTCTACCAGAGGTACAAAGAGGAGCTGTTACCATTCCTTCTAAAACTATTCCAATCAACAGAAAAAAAGGGAATTTTCCGTAAATCATTTTATGAGGTCAGCATCATCCTGATACCAAAGCCTGGCAGAGACACAACAAAAAAAGATAATTTTAGACCAATATTCCTGATGAACAACGATGCAAAAATCCTCAATAAAATACTGGCAAAACAAATCCAGCAGCACATCAAAAAGCTTATCCACCACGATCGAGTTGGCTTCATCCCTGGGAAGCAAGGCTTGTTCAACATACACAAATCAACAAACGTAATCCATCACTTAAACAGAACCATCGACAAAAACCACATGATTATCTCAATAGATGCAGAAAAGGCCTTCAACAAAATTCAACAGCCCTTCATGCTAAAAACTCTCATAAACTAGGTGTCGATGGAATGTATCTCAAAATAAGAGCTATTTATGACAAACTCACAGCCAATATCATACTAAATGGGCAAAAACTGGAAGCATTCCCTTTGAAAACTGGCACAAGACAGGGATGCCCTCTCTCACCACTCCTATTCAACATAGTGTTGGAAGTTCTGGCCAGGGCAATCAGGCAGGAGAAGGAAATAAAGGGTATTCAATTAGGAAAAGAGGAAGTCAAATTGTCCCTGTTTGCAGATGACATGATTGTATATTTAGAAAACCCCACTGTCTCAGCCCAAAATCTCCTTAAGCTGATAGGCAACTTCAGCAAAGTCTCAGGATACAAAATCAATGTGCAAAAATCACAAGAATTCCTATACACCAATAGCAGACAAACAGAGAGCCAAATCATGAGTGAACTCCCATTCACAATTGCTTCAAAGAGAATAAAATACCTAGGAATACAACTTACAGGGATGTGAAGGGCCTCTTCAAGGAGAACTACAAAGCACTGCTCAATGAAATAAAAGAGGACACAAACAAATGGAAGAACATTCCATGCTCATGGATAGGAAGAATCAATATCATGAAAATGGCCATACTGCCCAAGGTAATTTATAGATTCAATGCCATACCCATCAAGCTACCAATGACTTTCTTCACAGAATTGGAAAAAACTACTTTAAAGTTCATATGGAACCAAAAAAGAGCCCACATTGTCAAGACAATTCTAAGCCAAAAGAACAAACCTGGAGGCATCACGCTACCTGACTTTAAACTATACTACAAGGCTACAGTAACCAAAACAGCATGGTATTGGTACCAAAACGCGGATATAGACCAATGGTACATAATAGAGCCCTCAGAAATAATACCACACATCTACAACCATCTGATCTTTGACAAACCTGACAAAAACAAGAAATGGGGAAACGATTCCCGATTTAATAAATGGTGCTGGGAAAACTGGCTAGCCATATGTAGAAAGCTGAAACTGGATCACTTCCTTACACCTTATACAAAAATTAATTCAAGATGGATTAAAGACATAAATGTTAGACCTAAAACCATAAAAACTCTAGAAGAAAACCTAGGCAATACCATTCATGACATGGGTATGGGCAAGGACTTCATGACTAAAACACCAAAGGCAATGGCAACAAAAGCCAAAATTGACAAATGGGATCTAATTAAACTAAAGAGTTGCTGCACAGCAAAAGAAACTACCATCAGAGTGAACAGGCAACCTACAGAATGGGAGAAAATTTTTGCAATCTACCCATCTGACAAAGGGCTAATATCCAGAATCTACAAAGGACTTAAACAAATTTACAAGAAAAAAAAAAAAAAAAAAAGGCCATCAAAAAGTGGGCAAAAGATATGAACAGACACTTCTCAAAAGAAGACATTTATGCAGCCAAAAGACACATGAAAAAATGCTCATCATCACTGGCCATCAGAGAAATGCAAATCAAAACCACAATGAGATACCATCTCACACCAGTTAGAATGGCGATCATTAAAAAGTCAGGAAACAACAGGTGCTGGAGAGGATGTGGAGAAATAGGAACACTTTTACACTGTTGGTGGGACTGTAAACTAGTTCAACCATTGTGGAAGACAGGTGGAGGTTCCTCAAGGATCTAGAACTAGAAATACCATTTGACCCAGCCATCCCATTACTGGGTATATACCCAAAGGATTATAAATCATGCTGCTTTAAAGACACATGCACACATATGTTTACTGCAGCACTATTCACAATAGCAAAGACTTGGAACCAAGCCAAATGTCCAACAATGATAGACTGGATAAAGAAAACGTGGCACATATACACCATGGAATACTATGCAGCCATACAAAAGGATGAGTTCATGTCCTTTGTAGGGACACGGATGAAGCTGGAAACCATCATTCTGAGCAAACTATCGCAAGGACAGAAAACCAAATACCCATGTTCTCACTCACAGGTGGGAATTGAACAATGGACACTTGTACACTGGGTGGGGAACATCACACACTGGGGCCTGTTGGGGGGAGGGGGGAGGGATAGCATTAGGAGAAATACCTAATGTAAATGACGGGTTAATGGGTGCAGCACACCAACATGGCACATGTATACATATGTAACATACCTGCACGTTGTGCACATGTACCCTAGAACTTAAAGTATAATAATAAAAAAAAAGAAAAAGCTGCCTACTATGTGACTTCAACTACCTGACATTCCAGAAAAGGCAATGCTATGGAAAAAGATTAGCGATTGCCAGAGAGGGTTTGAGGGGAGGGAGGGATGAATAGGTAGAGCATGGAGGATTTTTTAGGGCAGTGAAACTATTCGTTATGATACTGTAATGGTGAATAAACGTCATTAGATATTTGTAGAAAGCCATAGAATGTGTGCCACTAAGAGTGAGCCCTGGTGTAAACTATGGACTCTGGGTGATAATGATGTGTCAGTGCAGGCTCATCAGTCGTAACAAATGGACCCGTCTAGTGGGTGATGTTAAAGATGGGGGAGACTGTGCATGTGTCGGGGTGGGGCGGATATAAGAAATCTCTGTACTTTCTGCTCAATTTTGGTATGAACTTAAAAGAGCTCTGAAAAGTAGTCTATTAAAAAATTACATAGTGTTCTATTATAAAATGTTATTTTTGAGAATTTATTCATTTCCTTTGAAAGTGTACTTTGGTTAAGGGAGTTCTATATGTCTTGTGGTTCTGCTTCTTTGAATCCTGATTTGTCTTCTAATAGTGATATATTGCTATGTAGCAAATTATCACAAACCCAACAAGACACATGTGTTATCTCACAGTTTCTGTGAATCAGGGATCTGGGTACAGCTTAGTTGGCCCTCTGTTTAGGGTATCACAAAGCTGACATCAAGAAAGCAGCCAGGGCTGTTCCATCCAGGAGCTCAATCAGGGAAAGATTTGTTTTTCTGCCTACAGCGTTGTTGACTGTGGTTGTAGGACTGAGAGCTTCAGATTTTTGCTGGCTCTTGGTCAGAGGCTGCCCTCAACTCTTAAAGGCCGCCTGCCATCCTTTGCCACATAAGCCTCCCAACATGGTCATTGTTTCATCAAGGCTGAAAAGAGGGTGAGAGAAGTTCTGAAGTGAATTTGCTAGCAAGACGGAATCTCATGTAACATAACACAATTCCACAATTGATATCCCAGTATGTGCCATATTCTTTTGCTTAGAAGTTAGTCACAGGTCCCACGCACACTCAAGGGGAGGTGATTATTCAAGGGTATGAACACCAGAGGGGGTACCTGGTGCTCACCTTAGAGTTTGTCCGTCAGGACACTACAACCCTGACATCCCACTCCTGGATGTGTATGTAGAAATGAGTGCTTCCATTCATTTCAGACAACTGCAAACATGCTTGTGGCAGCTTTATGAGTAGTCACCATCTCTCCTCCTTCACGGTTGGCATGATCACACAGGCTTCCTCTCACAAATACTATTTGAAATTCAAACTCCACTCTTGCCTTCCACTCAATACTCCTTTCTCCGACCTTGTGCATATTTCATTCTGAAACCAATCAATTGCTCCCACTCCCAGAATAATGCATACTTGTTCTTTAACATTATAGCATTTCTGCTTTCTCTGTGACCTCCCTTTTTCTTGTTCTTAAGAAACAGATCTTCCCCTTTTTAATAAGGGTAACCCCGTAACTTACAATATTGCCTCCAATTCTCATATATTCACCTTGAGACAAAAGCAGTATTATCTCTGATTGAACTCCTGTGTAATCTCTTCATTACTCTGTAACTTCAGGTCTCTCTCTATCTGCAAACGGCATTAACAACACCCTCCTAGAGATGACTCACCCATGAGGTGAATCCTACCAAGGGTTCTAAGCAGCGGAAGGCAAATGGAAATCCTCAGTGGTCTGAGGCCGGAGTACAGAGCGAGGAAGGAGATTGAGAAGCCTGTTTGATTCTTTCTCTCTTGCCACAAGCCCATCCTTCTCCAGGGAGCAGTGATACAGCAACTTCCTCCAGAGCAGCCCTCAAAACGGCTTCCCCATCCCCACACCAACCCCCGCCCTGTGACCTCACCCTAAGTCTTGGTAGCCGGGGGGAAGGACAGAACGCCTGAGCATAAATGAAAATTGGTTGGGAAAGATGCAAAATATAATAGGAAGATAAGACACCAGCATTCAGAAGACCAAGTACACAAAATGCAATCTGCACTACAGGCCAATGAGTCCTTTAAAAACTGTCTATTTTGCAGACTAAGTTTCTATGCTACCTGCCCACTCCTGGGTAAGGCAAGTGGTCCCCAAATCGGGACATATGTTTATTTTTAGGGTGCAACATTAGACCATTTAAAGAAATGAACCAGAAGTCTAAATCTCTGAAAAAACAGATTTCCTTTATCAAAAGAATTCTGGAGCCTGAGACAAGCATGTTTATTGGTCACCACACACCAATGAGCATATCTGAGGGACAGTGATGTGGCCAGAGGTTGGGGGGTTGCAACCAAGGTGGACTCTGTCCTAGGCACAGTTCTATCTGGAAGATGGCACTAAGTGTGGTTGAAGCCAGCAACGACAAGTGCTGCCCTTTGTCACAAAGAATTTCCACCTTCCCTCAGGACAACTAGCCAAAATTCACACCATTCTCCCTGCTCTGGCTAACTTACTTTGCAATAACTGAAGTAAATAGGCATAGTATTTCCCTTTCAAGCCTGAATTACGTAAGGCCATTGGCTGAAGCAATGACATTTTTTATTTTGAAAATGTTCACATTTACAGAAAGGTTGAAAAAATGGTCCCATGAACATATATATATAGATAGATTCATCAAATATTAAAATTTGGCCACATTTTATTCATCTGTCATTTGATGTATCTGTGTGTACTTTTGTTGAACTACTTAAAGTACATTACAGACAAAATGACAATATCTCAGCATCTGTTAAGAAAAAGGACCTTTTATAACCACACTAGTACTATTAAGCACAAGAAATAAACACACACACACAAACACACAAATATATATATATATATATAGAGAGAGAGAGAGAGAGAAAGAGAGAGAGAGAGAGAGAAAGAGAGAGAGAGAGACGGAGTCTCACTCTTGTCACCCAGGCTGGAGTGCATGGTATGATCTTGGCTCACTGCAACCTCCGCCTCCCAGGCTCAAGCACTTCTCCTGCCTCAGCCTCCCAAGTAGCTGGCATTACAGGTGCCCGCCACTACACCCGGCTAATTTTTGTATTTTTAGTAGGACAGGGTTTTGCCACATTGGCCAGGCTGGTCTCAAACTCCTGGCCAAAGTGCTGGGATTACAGGCTTGAGCCACAGTGCCTGGCCCCCATACAATAATTTAATAAGCAACAGACCTTCAAATTTTCCCAACTGGCTCCAAAATGTCTTTTATAGCTATGTTTCCCCCAAAATCACACAGACACCTCCACATAGAAAATGAGGCAGTCCCAGTGCACTGCTGAGGTCTCGGGACAAGAGAGCCAAGCCACCATAAGATAACTGTTATCACACACAGCCATCTTATCAGGCACAGGTGGCCAAGAGATTCTGGCAGCCTAAGCTACCTCCCTCACTACAAAGAAGCCACATCAGCCTAAAAACCATTAAGAAATCCAGGGCATGGCCCTGGGTATTCAAGTGACCTCAGACCACCTGCTGACCATTAGGAGTCATCTGTTCCAAAGAGGCACAGCCTTCCCTTTGGGACTCAGACTTCCACGTGCTCAGCACAAAGAAAAGGTGGGGATCAAGATCAGAAGCAAGCAAGTCAGGAAGAGAGGAGCAGGAAGGATAATCCTTTAACAACCCAAACTTCCCTGCATTTTAGCTAAGCCAAATCCCTGAGTCTTACATGTATCCACTGTAGAAAGGGATTCCAGGATCAACTCAAGCACGGAAGTGCTGAATAAAACTCCAGATCTTACTGTTGTCGACATTATGTAAAGTAACAGTCACATTCACCAGGGTATTTTGGTTTTTATTAGCGTATAAATGTAGAGACTCCCCTTAGAAACATCACTCCATTCACATCTATATGAATTGGATAGTGCTATTATTGTGAAGTGGAACAGCCAAGAAAACAGCTTTAAAAGATCATTTCTATGAACTTGGGAATTTTCTCCTAAAGGAATTGGAGAAACTCTACAAACATAATGTACAGTAGTGCAAGAGAGAAAAGGTAGAGCTGGGAGCATATCCCAACTCCTTTAAATTCTAGTCCATGTTAGTTCTGCTAGAGGAAGAAAAATGTCTCAGGCTAGCTTTTTTAGAGCTGGAAAGAAAGAGAATGCTGGCAGCATAAAACATTAGAGAAGAAATGTGCTGGTTTAGTAGCTTGATCTCATCAACCCAGTCAAAAATCTTCATTGTTGCGTGATTTCATGAAAGAGAAAAAAAAAATGTTTAATGACTGGGATACACCAAATGAACAAATTAGAACTCTGATTACAGCAGCAGAGCTCAAGTTTCCAAAGGAAGAGAAAAAGAAGTTTCCTGAAGTATCTCCCCCTGTAGCTAAGAAGCTGTTTATGGTGCCCTACAATAAAATACTATGCAAAATTATGTACATAATATAGAGTTTAGTTTAAGGCTGGTCATTGTTGATTGAAAATACTCCCAAGATATTTAGAGAAGGAGCAAAAAGAGACATTTACGGGACCTGTGAGAGGGCTCCAAGACAAAGAAAGTATGGCATGGAGCCAATCCAATCCAACTGACGGATCGAGATGTATATGTCTTGTAATCCCACTATGTTATTTTCTAGGAAATAACAACCATACCATATATTTAGTATATACTTCCCTGAGGAGCTAATACATTTGCCGTGTTTTAGAGATCGTGGATTATTTGATGACTGAATGAAGAAGGAATGAATCACTGAATAAATAGATTAACAAATAAATGAATTTACATTCAACAGTTGGTTCCTTTGTTTCATCTGCTTCCAACCCATTCACAAATGAATTCCTCCATGAATAGTGTCTGAAATTTCATGTAGTGATTTTCTGAAGCCTCGGCCTCGTCCATGGGCTTCTAAAGAGGGACCACATGGTGGTGGTGTGTCCTGCTGAAAAATATTCCTTCTTCCACCTTCCAGCCACCACATAGGAACTCTCCAACGTATTGAGAGACAATCACCAGATACAATGTCAGTTGCGGATAGAACAAACACATTTTCTTATACACCAGTACTATGTTTTCTGAGGATTTTTACAATTAATCGTAATTACATATACTTTATTTACACGTAACTTTGAAATCGTACCCACTGCTAAATCAGATAAACCTATAAAAGAAGTTTATACTTTGGAAGGCTAAAGTGAGAGGACTGCTTGAGGCCAGGAGTCTGAGATAAGCATGGGCAACATAGTGAGGCCCTGGTCTCTACAAAGGTTTTTTAAAAAGTTAGCCAGATGTGGTGGTGCAAGCCTATAGTCCCAGCTACTCAAGAGGCTGAGGCGGGAGGATTGCTTGAGCCCAGGAGTTAGAGGCTGCAGTGAGCGATGATTGTGCCACTGCACTCCAGGCTGGGCAACAGAGCTAGGCCTTGCCTCTAAAAATAAAAATAAATAAATAAGTAAATGAAATATTTTTACATTTAATAGTTAATAAAACAAAATGTCGACTTAAAGTAAAAGTGTTTGAATAAACCTTTGAAATTAGTTGTTCTGGAATATGGCATTTAAAAGTCTTCAAACTATATTTTATCTGGCCAATTATTTAAAGAAAAGAAAGTATATAGGAAGGGACTTCAGTTCTTCCTTAGTACTCACACCAGTGTAATGCACTTTTGCCATGGAAAATGTTTATTAAACTCCCACACGTGCACAGCATGAACAGAATGCTGCACAAAACCCAACTGTCCCATACCTACTGATCTGGTTTGGCTGTGTCCCCACCCAAATCTCATCTTGAATTCCCACATGTTGTGGGAGGGACCTGGCGGGAGATAATTGAATCATGGAGGCAGGTCTTTCCCATGTTGTTCTCATGATAGTGAATAAGTCTCATGAGATCTGATGGTTTTAAAAAGAGGAGTTCCTCTGAACAAGCTCTCTCTCTCTTTGCCTGCAGCCATCCATGTAAGATGTGACTTGCTCCTCCTTGCCTTCCACCATGATTGTGAGGCTTCCCCAGCCACGTGGAACTGTAAGTCCAATTAAACCTCTTCCTTTTGTAAATTGCCCAATCTCAGATATGTCTTTATTAGCAGCGTGAAACAGACTAATACACCTGCCATCATCATTCTATTCCTTTTTTTCTTTTAGAAACAAGGGACTTTTTTAAAAAAAAACAAGAATTTGCTCTATCACCCAGGCTGGAATGCAGTGGTGCAATCATACATACGTCACTGCAGCCTTGAGATCCTGGACTCAAGTGATCCTCCCACCTCAGCCTCCAGAGTAGCTGGGACTACACGTGCGCACCACCATTGCTGGCTAAGAACAGGACATCTTAATATACATTCATCAAAAATGAGCTGACTCAATTTCTGAAAAGAAAGTAAGGTAGCGAAATTGACATACACTAAGAAACATTTTTCTTCTGACCCTTTTGAATAAAACTTTGAGGATAGACCTGAATTTTTATAACAGTACATTGTTACAAGTAGATGGTGAAGAAGGATAAAAATAGTTTCCTGATAGATCCTGATCTGGTCAAGCACTGGAAATGGTAGATAGCAGATTGACAAGGAGAAAATTTGAATGTCACAGAAAACATTTCTCAAAACCAGAAAACTGTTCTGAGCAGTTGCACTGAATATCTCTGTTTGAGGAGTTCAAAACAGCCTGTAGCCTTTAACACTGCAAATCACCTGAGGAGAGCAATTCGTTTCCTCCAATCTCAAATGCTGTCATAAATTAAGCTGCATGAAAGAAAAATCTGTGCCCATGTCCTAGGCAATTGTTTCAGTGCTTGCCACCATCATCCACCAGAAGAATTTGCCAGGTTCCTAACTGCACAAGTCCCTTTCTAGGCTGTGCAGTAAGATAATGAAACAAAACTGGTTCCCTGCTCTATTAATCAATGCACATTCACCACTGCTTTGAACCAAAAGACATCATGTACAAAAAAAAAAGAAATATGGTTCATCCTCCTGCTGTGGGACAAGTAAGTACTTCATCCAGCTCAAGTGACTGGGTGTCCACATCTTTGTGAATCTCTCCAGTGACTGAGGCTTCCTGACCTTCTTTATGATCTTAGTAGTCAGAAAGTGATTTTGTATTTCCAGTTGAAACTTCATTGGTATGTAGATCCTTATTTTGTCATGCACGAGCTTGAATGGAAATGGCTCTGAAATCCTATCCAGAAAGGAGCCTGTAGTTGCACACAACAGAACCTGGTTTCTGCTCACTTAGCAGGAAGAAGGCTGTTGCTTTGCAACAGTGGTGTCTCAGGGGCTTGGAGGAGGAGCTGCAGCAAGACATTGATGTAGGAGGGAAACAGGCCCCAGCATGGAGTCCTGGAAACCACCACTGCTCTCTCTGGGTTACTTGACACACCTGCCGCTGCCTTCTTTTATGTAGACTAGCTTTCTCTGCCTCTCTATCCATATGGGAGACAGACTAGCCTCCTCCACTCAATAGACCGCTCTGTCAGACTAGACCCCAACTTTCTGGTGTTAATCTCGAATTGGAGGAGAGAGGAGCTGAGTGAGTTAGCATGGATCAGGAGTCTACCCCTGGTCTAATCTACACGGCCCAGGAGGAAGATGATGTCAGTCTGGCTGCTAAGGGCCCAAACGGAGGATGTAGTACAGGGCAGTTAAGGGGTCTTGAGCTGGGAAGCCATTCCAAAGGTGCCTGCTCTGATGGTTCTCATGAAGACATGTCACGTTCTTCCCTAATTTCCTCCTCCCCTAATCCTTTAACCTTGCCTGTAGAACACATATTTGATTCCATCAATACATTTTCTGTATTTCCCTGGGCCCTGTTCATTTTTTCCACATCATTTTTAAAGTTACCAAAACTGGACAGAACACCCCAATATAAGACTGGATAATGTAAGTTCTAGGAGTGCGATTACTTGTCAGTGTTTTTAGCAGGGTTAAAGTGAAGACTGAAGAGAACCAGCAACAGAAGTCCCATTTCTTGACAGAGGAATGCAATTAGAAGTGTTTCTATGCAGGATAATTCTGGACGACCCTACAGAAATGTAGATGCTTACTTAGGAGCCATTTGTGTATGTGCCTGAGGAAACGGCCACTTAGGCCTTTAATAAGTACATTTAACAAATGTTTATTGATCGAGATACTCTGTGCACTGTGGAAGAATCACCAGAGTTCTATGTGCCAAGACCACAGTGAGGGGTGGAGACACAATAACAAGCCCTGCCCCTAGAGAGCTTTCTATCTGCAACAGCTTCAGCCACATTCTTAAACTAGTCGTGACTATGTAAAAGAAGTGACAACACTATAGGAGATGCAAGAGCACCTCCTGTAATCAGTAAAGGCTCTTGGGAGGAGGTGACACTTAGGCTGGGACCTGGATGAGGAAGGTGACAGGCATCAGATGACTGGTACTGTAATGTACTGTAGTCTGTTTCTGCTCACAAGTCCAACTTCATACACGACACTCCTGCCCCATGATGTTCTAATCAAGCGGAATTACCGTCTAGCAATAGCTGACTACATTCCCGTGCATATGTTGTCCCTTTGCTTGGAATGCAAACCTCCCCTCTATTTCTGTTGTGAATGACTCCTCCAGCTGAAGAATGAACTCACTGATATGAGAAAGGGCTCCCCAGGCACTGCAAACTGATCTTTATCACACCATATAAACACTTCAGATTTTACCTACTCCAGTAAGTAAGCTTTTAGGGCAAGGACTGTGTCTGCCATCACTAATCTCTGCATTCTGGCACAAAGTAAATGCTCAAAAGATTTGCTAAATGGATATAAAGGTGCATTAATAGATGCCAGCTGTACAGACATTGGAAGAGTCCTCCCTTTTCCATGGTTTTGCTTCCCATGGTTTCAGTTATCCTTGGTCAACTATGGTCTGAAAATACTAAAAGGAAAATTCCAGAAACAAACATATCACAAGTTTTGAATTGTGTGCCATTTTGAGTTGCATGATGAAATCTTGAACCTTCCCACTTCATCCCACCCAGGATGTGAATCATCCCTTTGTCCAGCGTATCCACGCTGTCTACGCCACCTGCTCACTACTATATAAGAAAAAATAGTGTATATTGGGTTCAGTACTATCCACAGTATCCACTGGGGGGCCTGGAATGCATTCTCCCTCCGATAAAGCGGGACTACTGTATTTCATTTAATCTTCACGACAATCCTAGAAAGTAGTTCTATTATCTCCTTTTCGTTTTTTTTGTTTGTTTGTTTCTTTGTTTGTTTGTTTTTGTGATGGAGTCTCACTCTGTCGCCCAGGATGGAGTGCAGTGGCACGATCTCGGCTCACTGCAACCTCCGCCTCCCGGATTCAAGCAATTCTCTGCCTCAGCCTCCCGAGAAGCTGGGATTACAGGTGCCCACCACCATGCCGGTCTAATTTTTGTATTTTTAGTAGAGACGGGGTTTCACCATCTTGGCCAGGCTGGTATTGAACTCCTGACCTCGTGATTCACCCGCCTTGGCCTCCCAAAGCATTGAGATTACAGGCATGAGCCACCGCGCACGGCGAAACTAGAGGCTCATAGCAGTGAACTTGTCATATAGCTATGAAGCTGGGATGTGAATTCTATTTCCTCTGCTCCTCCAGACATTAAAAAAACTAAGTGGACACCCCTCAGGGCTGCAGGGCCAGAGCATCCCTAACAGCTTACAGTAAAATGCTTAACAAACATCAATGGTGCATTTGCATGTGGATTTATGTTTGAATGCAACTAACCTGAATGTTTCCAGCTGCTTAAGGAAAGGACCAAGGCTCAAAGCTGGAGAGTTTTAGACTAGACTAGACTCTTTTTAATGAGATCCAGGAGGGACTTCTGAAGAGCAGGGAGAACTCTCCTTGCCCACGTCTCCCTAAAGCCTGGAAGACTTCACTTCCCTGGAGGTGAGGCCATTTCCCCATCACCACCATATGCGTACTTCAGATTTCACCTGCTCTAGTTGGAAAGCTTTTAGGGTGAGGACTGTGTCTCCCATCACTTATCTCTGTATTCTGGCACATAGTAAATGCTTTAAAAGTTTGCTAAATGAACAAATGAAAATAAAGGCACATTAATAGGCACGAGGGATTTCTAACCCCATGGCAGATGCGAAGGGTTTATAACCCCATGGCAATGATCTAAGTGAGCTGGGGTCACCTCGTTTCCTTAAAAGATAATAGTTCTGCATTTTCATTACATCAAAACTCAGAAACTATTTACTAAATTGTTAGCATATTTAAGAATAAAATTAATTCTCTGACCCAATAAAAAATGCTGTGCTCTAATGCTCAACTCACCACCCCCTCAAGCCCTCTAACTCTTTTCTTTTAAAAT